>NC_000020.11:9460274-9611789 GCF_000001405.40 Homo sapiens
ACTTTTCAAAATGGTAGGGCTGGAACTGGCCTTTGGAGAATGATCTGGAGTCTCTTAGGTAGAAAAGACACACAGAGAGATAAAGACCAATCAGTTCAGCTCCTAGAGTGACCAGGTTCTGATCATTTAATAGCTACCTGTGGAGAGAGTCTCCATTTCCCTTCCTTACAGTGTTAGGACTTCTGTGAATTTTGAAAAGATAAGCCTGATTAAAAAACAGCAAAGTATCAGTTTATTTTGGCCTGTGCCCACTTCAGCAAAGTGAATATTGCATTTGAAATACTGCAAGCCATGAGCTGGACTTATCCCTGAGCAGAAGAAGGTTGGTGTTTGTTACATCTTTTTATCATAGCTCGGTTGCAGCTTGCTTGGTTCTCACTTAGTGCCTACCGTATGCCACAGTTAGGGTCTCTTGAGACACAACAAGAGTAGAAAATAGAAGCATTATACAAATAAATCAAACAAAAAAATGTGTTTAATGCCAACTGCATAAGTTATCTGGCTGCATGCCCAAATTCCCAACATTACTTTGGAGTGACAGATACTGCCACAAGAACAAAGTGTTTTTGCCCTGGTTTCCCATTCTCATTTGAGGCAACTAAATGCAGTCTCCCATGCTCCATTTTCTGTGGGATAATGTGCTGTACCCCCATGCATTTTAAAGCATTCTATTTCGTCCTATAGGATTAGAAGTTGTCTTTTCTTTTTTCCTTAGAAATGCTCTTGATTCACTATGCAGAAAGTTGTGTTCATCATTCTGCCTTTGATGATTGCTACAATGCCAGATTTTAGGTGCCTACCCTTATTCAAAGATACTTCACGGAATACAGCATGGCACTTGTCTAATCTTCTTTTACATTGTTGAATAAAGAGAAAAACATTAGCTCACAACAGTAGGCATTATCTGAAAGGAAAAAACAAAATATACTAATTCTTGAATTGCTTAGGAAGTCATTTGAAGAGATCATGACCTAGTTACTAAAATACTTTAAAAAATAAATCCATGGGCTTCATTCCAAGATGGCTGAATAAGAACAGGTCCAGTCTGCAGCTCCTAGCATGATCGATGCAGAAGATGGGTGATTTCTGCATTTCCAACTGAGGTACCTGGTTCATCTCATTGGAACTGGTTGGACAGTGGGTGCAGCCCAAGAAGTGTGAGCCAAAGCAGGGTGGGGTGTCACCTCACCCAGGAAGCACAAGGGGTCAGGGGACTTCCCTTTCCTAGCCAAAGGAAGCCGTGACAGACTGTCTCTGGAAAAACAGGACACTTCTGCCCAAATACTGTGCTTTTCCCAAGGTCTTAGCAACCGGCAGACAAGGCGATTCTCTCCTGTGCCTGGCTTGGCAGGTTCCACGCCCATGTAGCCAGGCTCACTGCTAGTGCAGCAGTCAGATCGAACCGTGAGGCAGCAACCTGGCTGGGGTAGGAGCGTCCACCATTGCTGAGGCTTGAGTAGGTAAACAAAGTGGCCAGGAAGCTCAAATTGGGTGGAGCCCACTGCAGCTCAGCAAGGCCTACTGCCTCTATAGACACCATCTCTGTGGGCAGGGCATAGCTGAACAAAAGGCAGCAGACAACTTCTGCAGACTTAAACATCCCTGTCTGACAGCTCTGAAGAGAGCAGTGGTTCTCCCAGCATGGCGTTTGAGCTCTGAGAACGGACAGACTGCCTCCTCAAGTGGGTCCCTGACCCCCATGTAGCCTAACTGGGAGACACCACCAAGCAGGGGCCGACAGACACCTCATATAGGTGGGTGCCCCTCTGGGACAAAGCTGCCACAGGAAGGATCAGGCAGCAATATTTGCTGTTCTGCAGCCTCCGCTGGTGATACCCAGGCAAACAGGGTCTGGAGTGGACCTCCAGCAAACTCCAACAGACCTGCAGCTGAGGGACCTGACTAGTAGAAGGAAAACTAACAAACAGAAAGGAATAGCATCATCATCAACAAAAAGTTCATCTACACCAAAACCCCATCTGTAGGTCACCAACATCAAAGACAAAAGGTAGATAAAACCGCAAAGATGGGGAGAAACCAGAGCAGAAATGTTGAAAATTCTAAAAACCAGAGCACCTCTTCTCCTCCAAAGGATCGCAGCTCCTTGCCAGCAATGGAACAAAGCTGGATGGAGAAGGACTTTGACAAGTTGACAGAAGTGGGCTTCAAAAGGTCAGTAATAACAAACTTCTCTGAGCTAAAGGAGCATGTTCAAACCCATCGCAAGGAAGCTAAAAACCTTGAAAAAAGGCTAGATGAATGGATAACTATAATAAACAGTGTAGAGAAGACCTTAAATGACCTGACGGAGCTGAAAACCATGGCACGAGAGCTTCGTGACACATGCACAAGCTTCAATAGCTGATTCGATCAAGTGGAAGAAAGGGTATCAGTGATTGAAGATCAAATTAATGAAATAAAGCAAGAAGAAAAGATTAGAGAAGAAAGAGTAAAAAGAAAGGAACAAAGCCTCCAAGAAATATGGGACTATGTGAAAAGACCAAATCTGTGTTTGATTGGTGTACCCAAAAGTGATGGGGAGAATGGAACCAAGTTGGAAAACACTCTTTAGGATATCATCCAGTAGAACTTCCCCAACTTAGCAAGGCATGCCAACATTCAAATTCAAGAAAGACAGAGAACACCGCAAAGATACTCCTCGAGAAGAGCAACCCTAAGACACATAATTGTCAGATTCACCAAGGTTGAAATGATGGAAAAAATGTTAAGGGCAGCCAGAGAGAAAGGTCGGGTTACCCACAAAGGAAAGTCTATCAGACTAACAGCGGACCTCTCGGCAGAAACCCTACAAGCCAGAAGAAAGTAGGGGCCAATATTCAACATTCTTAAAGAAAGGATTTTCAACCCAGAATTTCATATCCAGCCAAACTAAGCTTCATAAGTGAAGGAGAAATAAAATCCTTTACAGGCAAGCAAATGCTGAAAGATTTTGTCACCGCCAGGCCTGCCTTATAAGAGCTCCTGAAGGAAGCATTAAACATGGAAAGAAACAACCGGTACCAGCCACTGCAAAAACATGCCAAATTGTAAAGACCAACGAGGCTAGGAAGAAACTGCATCAATTAATGGGCAAAATAACCAGTTAACATCATAATGACAGGATCAAATTCACATATAACAATATTAACCTTAAATGTAAATAGGCTAAATGCCCCAATTAAAAGACACAGACTGGCAAACTGGATTAAGAGTCAAGACCCATCAGTGTGCTGAATTCAGGAAACCCATCTCACATGCAGAGACACACACAGGCTCAAAATAAAGGGATGGAGGAAGATCTACCAAGCAAATGGAAAGCAAAAAAAAAAAAAAAAAAAAAGCAGGGGTTGCAATCCTAGTCTCTAATAAAACAGACTTTAAACCAACAAAGATCAAAAGAGACAAAGAAGGCCATTACATAATGGTAAAGGGATCAATTCAACAAGAAGAGTTAACTATCCTAAATATATATGCACCCAATACAGGAGCATGCAGATTCATAAAGCAAGTCCTTAGAGACCTACAAAGAGACTTAGACTCCCACATAATAATAATGGGAGACTTTAACACCCCACTGTCAATATTAGACAGATCAATGAGACAGAAGGTTAATAAGATATCCAGGACTTGAACTCGGCTCTTCACCAAGCAGACCTAATAGACATCTACAGGACTCTCCACCCCAAATCAACAGAATATACATTCTTCTCAGCACCACATCACACTTATTCTAAAATTGACAACATAATTGGAAGTAAAGCACTCCTCAGCAAATGTAAAGGAACAGAAATCACAACAAACTATCTCTCAGGCCACAGTGCAATCAAATTAGAACTCAGGATTAAGAAACTCACTCAAAACTGCAAAACTACATGGAAACAGAACAACCTGCTCCTGAATGACTACTGGGTAAATAATGGAATGAAGGCAGAAATAAAGATGTTCTTTGAAACCAATGAGAACAAAGACACAACATACCAGAATCTCTGGGACACATTTAAAGCAGTGTGTAGAGGGAAATTTATAGCACTAAATGCCCACAAGAGAAAGCAGGAAAGATATAAAATTGACACCCTAACGTCACAATTAAAAGAACTAGAGACGCAAGAGCAAACAAATTCCAAAGCTAGCAGAAGGCAAGAAATAACTAAGATCAGAGCAGAACTGAAAGAGATAGCGACACAAAAAACCCTTCAAAAAAATCAATGAATCCGGGAGCTGGTTTTTTGAAAAGATCAACAAAATTGATAGACTGCTAGCAAGACTAATAAAGAAGAAAAGAGAGAAGAATAAAAAAGATGCAATAAAAAAATGATAAAAGAGATATCACCACCGATCCCACAGAAATACAAACTACCATCAGAGAATACTATAAACACCTCTATGCAAATAAACTAGAAAATCTAGAAGAAATGGATAAATTCCTGGACACATACACCCTCCCGAGACTAAACCTGGAAGAAGTTGAATCTCTGAATAGACCAATAACAGGCTCTAAAGTTGAGGCAATAATTAATAGCCTACCAATCAAAAAAAGTCCAGGACCAGACAGATTCACAGCCGAATTCTACCAGAGATACAAAGAGGAGCTGATACCATTCCTTCTGAAACTATTCCAATCAACAGAAAAAGAGGGAATCCTCCCTAACTCATTCTATGAGGCCAGCATCATCCTGATACCAAAGCCTGGCAGAGGCACAACAAAAAAAGAGAATTTTAGACCAATATCCCTGATGAACATCCATGCAAAAATCCTCAATAAGATAAATACTGGCAAACCAAATCCAGCAGCACATCAGAAAGCTTAACCACCATGATCATGTCGGCTTCATCCCTGGGATGCAAGTCTGGTTCAACATATGCAAATCAATAAATGTAATCCATCACGTAAACAGAACCAATAACAAAAACCACATGATTATCTCAATAGATGCAGAAAAGGCCAACAAAATTCAACAGGCCTTCATGCTAAAAACTCTCAATAAACTAGATATTGATGGAATGTATCTCAAATTAATAAGAGCTATTTATGACAAACCCACAGCCAATGTCATACTGAATGGGCAAAAACTGGAAGCATTCCCTCTGAAAACTGGCACAAGACAAGGATGCCCTCTGTCACCACTCCTATTCAACATAGTGTTGGAAGTTCTGGCCAGGGCAATCAGGCAAGAGAAAGAAATAAAGGGTATTCATTTAGGAAAAGAGGAAGTCAAATTGTCCCTGTTTGCACATCACATGATAGTATATTTAGAAAACCCCTTCATCTCAGCCCCAAATCTCCTCAAGCTGATAAGCAACTTCAGCAAAGTCTCAGGATACAAAATCAATGTGCAAAAATCACAAGCGTTCCTATACACCAATGACAGACAACCAGAGAGCCAAATCATGAGTGAGCTTCCATTTGCATTTGCTACAAAGAGAATAAAATACCTAGGAATCCAACTTACAAGAGATGTGAGGGACCTCTTCAAGGAGAGCTACAAACCACTGCTCAATGAAATAAAAGAGGACAGAAATGAATGGAAGAACATTCCATGCTCATGGATAGGAAGAATCAGTATCGTGAAAATGCCCATACTGCCCAAGGTAATTTATAGATTCAATGCCATCCCCATCAAGCTACCAATGACTTTCTTCACAGAATTGGAAAAAACTATTTTAAAGTTCATATGGAACCAAAAAAGAGCCCTCATTGCCAAGACAATCCTAAGCAAAAAGAACAAAGCTGGAGGCATCATGCTACCCAACTTTAAACTATACTACAAGGCTACAGTAACCAAACCAGCATGGTACTAGTACGAAAACAGAGATATAGACCAATGGAACAGAACAGAGCCCTTAGAAATAACACCACACATCTACAACCATCTGATCTTTGACAAACCTGACAAAAACAAAAAATGGGGAGAGGATTCCCTATTTAATAAATGGTGCTGGGAAAACTGTCTAACCATATGTAGAAAGCTGAAACTGGATCCCTTCCTTACACCTTATACAAAAATTAATTCAAGATGGATTAAAGACTTAAATGTCAGACCTAAAACCATAAAAGCCCTAGAAGAAAACCTAGGCAATACCATTCAGGACATAGGCATGGGCAAGGACTTCATGACTAAAACAAAAAGCAATGGCCACCAAAGCCAAAACAGACAAATGGGATCTAATTAAACTAAAGAGCTTCTGCATGGCAAAAGAAACTACCATTAGAGTGAACAGGCAACTCACAGAATGGGAGAAAATTTTTGCAGTCTACCCATCTGACAAAGGGCTAATATCCAGAATCTACAAAGAACTCAAACAAATTTACAAGAAAAAAACAACCCCATCAAAAAGTAGGCAAAGGATATGAACAGACACTTCTCAAAAGGAGACATTTATGCAGCCAACAGACACATGAAAAAATGCTCATCATCACTGGTCATCAGAGAAATGCAAATCAAAACCACAAGAGTTGCCATCTCACGCCAGTTAGAATGGCGATCATTAAAAAGTCAGGAAACAACAGATGCTGGAGAGGACGTGGAGAAATAGGAACGCTTTTACACTGTTGGTGGGAGTGTAAATTTGTTCAACGATTGTGGAAGACAGTGTGGCGATTCCTCAAGGATCTAGAACTAGAAATCCCATTTGACCCAGCAATCCCATTACTGGGTATATACCCAGAGAATTATAAACCATGCTACTATAAAGACACATGCACACATGTGTTTATTGTGGCACTATTGACAATAGCAAAGACTTGGAACCAACCCAAATGTCCATCAGTGATAGACTGGATTAAAAAAATGTGGCACATATACAACATGGAATACTATGCAGCCATAAAAAAGGATGAGTTCATGTCCTTTGCAGAGACATGGATGAAGCTGGAAACCATCATTCTCAGCAAACTATCACAAGGACAGAAAACCAAACACCGTATGTTCTTACTCATAGGTGGGAATTGAACAGTGAGAACACTTGGACACAGGGTAGGGAACGTCACACACCGGGCCTTTTGGAGGGTGGGGGACTGGGGGAGGGATAGCATTAGGAGAAATGTCTAATGTAAATGACGAGTTGATGGGTGCAGCAAACCAACATGGCACATGTATACCTATGTATCAATCCTGCACGTTGTGCACATGCACCCTAGAACTTAAAGTATAATAAAAAATAAATAAATAAATAAAATAAATCCATGGCAGAAGCACTTTTCAAAGCAACAGCAGTATTTTAGCTTTTTCTCAAACCCCTGGTGGTTGTGTTTCTTCCTCATGATCACAACTATTATTCTTGGTTAAAAATCTTTGCTTTCTTGACATTTGTCAGCAACGTTTGGTCATTGGTGTTTGTTGAATGAATGAATACAGAAAGGTCAATTTCCTAACAAGTTATGGTAAAATCTGAGAGTGATCTTCTTGTGTCCAGAGTTTCTATACATGTTCCTGCTGGAGTGGCTCTAGGGTAGCTGAGTGAGCAACTCTCCAGTTCAGTATTGCCCATCTCTTTGGATGCAGAGCAAATAGCAGTGCCTAGGTAACCTGACTGCTTGTATGCTGGTTTCCAGGCAGTGCTTTCAATAGATCTCCATAGGTTATAGAAAAAAATTTTTGTAATAATATACTATGTAGCATTTTAAGTTTTATTCCTTTAATGCATGTGTGTCATGCATACACATGCATTCCCACATGCAGTGGTTGGTCACCTGCAAACCTACTTTTTTGCTATTCCCTGTGCTTACTTGAAACCATTTAGTCCCTTTCATTCCTGTGGCTGATAGAAACAGGAAGGCCGTTTGTGATGGTTAGAACATTTTCTCTCTCTCTTCCAGCCCATCTGATCCCAAATAATATGAAGCAAAACTGAGATCTTTATATTTATGGGCAAAAATACTGTCTCCTCATCACAGGCCATCACTGTCACTTCACCACTAGGTGGCCACTGCCCCTCAAGGATCAGCATCCACATAGCTTGGGGTCCCGTCCCTCCTTTTTCCAAAATACAGAAGTCGATGAGCTCAATAATAGAAAGAAAAAAAAAGAAGAGTGAGAGGAGTGAGCCTAGTCATATTGCTATAAACAGAAGTATTTTTGTTTTTTTCCATGCTTAAATTATGTCTATATATATAAAATGTAAACTTTACTGTTGTAACCATTAAGTGCATGACATTAAGTACATTCACTTTGTTGTGTACCCGTCACTGCCACCCACCTCTAGAACTTTCTCATTTTCCCCAGGTGAATCTCTCTACCCATTAAACACAAACTCTCCATCCCCCCTCCCTGTTTGTTTTCTTGTTTTTAATACATAGGGAAAGCAAGGAAATGCGAGCACACCAGGCTAAGATTTCTATGGAAAATAGCAAAGCCATCAGCCAAGATAAATCTATCAAGAATAAAGCAGAACGGGAAAGGTAAGTCTGAGAGTGTTCACTGCAGGAATATGGCATTGACTTGAGGACACAGTCTCAACTTTCTTTATGTGTGTACACACACACACAACTGAGACAGCAAAACACTTGTGGCTTTTGACTAGGAATTCTGCTATTATAACTGCAATGGAGATTTGTTATTATCACTGTAGAACAATCGTCCACATTTTCTGGTTGCTTACTACCACCAGTAAAATTAGTTTACATTCAATATATATGTGCTGCTTTACAAACAAAGTTGCATAAAATATGACATAATAATATAATTCTTTTTTTTATTTTATTCATTTTTTTTTTTGCTTGTTTGTTTTGAGATGGAGTCTTGCTTTATTACCCATGCTAGAGTGCAGTGGCACAATCTCAGCTCACTGCAACCTCTGCCTGGGTTTGAGCGATTCTCCTGCCTGAGCCTCCCTAGTAGCTGGGATTACAGGCATGCACCACCACACCTGGCTAATTTTTGTATTTTTAGGAGAGATGGGGTTTCACCATGTTGGCCACACTGGTCTTGAACTCCTGACCTCAAGTGATCTGCCCGCCTCAGCCTCCCAAAGTGCTGGGATTATAGGCGTGAGCCACTGCGCCCAGCCTATAATCAATATAATTCTGAAGCATCCTTCCCAGGTTCCACTGGGTCATTCTGCAAGCCTCTCCCCTGCTCAGGTGTCAGTCCGTTCTGGATGGGCCAGTTCTGAATAGCAGCAACAGTCAGGAGGGCGGTCTTCTTCAGTAGTCCTTCACATGGGATCATCTTGAAAGCCCCCATCCCATTTGTCTCATTTGTCCTTATGTTAGGTGAGTTTTCTGGAAGCAGATCAAGGCAGGAATTGATGTGCTTGTGATTCACTGAGGAAGGGACCTTCAGAGAAAGGGAGTGAGAAAGCAGGAAGGCCCAGGGCAGGCCCTAAGCAAGGATGTGGTCTCACCTAGGGTCCCAGTAACCTCAAATAAAAAATTCCACCACAGATTTGTCCCTCTTTGAAGCAAGAGTACCTGGCTTTTGTGTTTCCATATTAGGCAGTCATTGGCCGCCTGAGACTGGGGGGAAGGTTTGTGTGTCCTCTATAGAAGGTGCCAAGTGCAAGCCCTTTAGACACAGCTGGTGAAGGGGATCTGAGGAGCTGTCAATAGTCATGTTACCCAAGGGATAGGCACTTAATTCCCAGCGATCACCAGTGCTGCCCATCATCCACCTCAAGGAACATCTGAGAATACAAATGCTATCAGCTCCATAACCAAGAGCCTGGATTACGCCACCAGCAGTTAGGGACAGTGGGGTTCCTTCTTTTGGGGGAATAATACCTAGCAAGAAGGTGGCCTTTTGGCCAAAGTCCAACAGAGAAAAGCTGTTTTATGAGCCAGGTGCAGTGGCTCACACCTGTAATCCCAGCACTTTGGGAGGCCGAGGTGGGCAGATTACCTGAGGTCAGGAGTTTGGGACCAGCTTGACCAACATGGTGAAACCTCACCTCTACTAAAAATACAAAAAAATTAGCTGGGTGTGGTGGTACCTGCCTGTAATCCCAGCTACTCAGGAGGCTGAGGCAGGAGAATTGCTTGAACCCCAGGGGCGGAGGTTGCAGTGAGCCGAGATCCTGCCATTGCACTCCAGCCTGGCCAACAGAGCAAAACTCCATCTCAAAAAAAAAAAGAAAAGAAAAAATGTCATTCTCTGGATGTTATTCTCAGATAAGCAACTTTGTTTAAGGGCCTTATATACATGGAAATGACACCTTCTTCAGTTTGAAAACACCAAATATTCCAGCCATGATAAAACCTCATGAATTTGAACTGTTTTAGACTATCCAAAGTGAAATATAGAATTAACCATGACAAATGTGCCAATTAATAGCTTTTTACCATCTTTTTCAAATATGTTACAAAGTAGACTTTAGCTCGGTTGAGGTCAAATTATCTTCAATTTGGAGTTACTGCTAACTTAATTAGCAAGGGTCTTAAAAATTTATCTTATTTTGAAAACTGTACTTATTTGTTGTAACTTTCTATTTTTATTTGTGCAACTGTATGGGGGTACGTGAGAAAACTTTACATGTATACAATGCCCAGTGATCAAGTCAGGGCATTTAGGTTGTCCATCACCCAAGTACTATACATTTGTGGCTAAGTATAGTCACCCTACTCTGCTATCTCTTATAAGTTTGTATCCAGTGGTATGTGGTTCCAAAATATCTACAAATTGGCTGTTTTTTAAAAAATAATTTTTCTATACCAAATGATAGTTATATTCTAAACCCATACTGTGTGTATGTTTGTATCCACTTTATCAAACTGAGGAGAAATAAAATTTAAAAATTTGTCATAGCACTAAGAAAGATACATAGAAACTGAAAATCATACTTACATTTTTAGATCAAAGAAGACATTTTAACAGAAATTACCCAATATTTATAACTGAATGACAATGTAAACACTATTTATCAATGTGTAGAGGGTAGTTAAAGTGATATTTGGAGGGAAAAATATAGCCTAGATGCATATATTTTTTAAAAGATGTGAAAATTAATGAGCTAACCACTCAAAGAGAATATGAAGTTGGAAAAACAGAGTGAACCCAAAGATCTCTGATGGAAAGAAATAAATTTAAAAAGCAAAAAATACTGAAATAGAAAACAAAATGCAATAGAGAACATTCAGAAAAACAAAAGCTTATTTGAAAAGAATAATAAATCAGTTAACTTTCACCAAGACTAAAGAAGAGAGAGAAAGCACGAATTAGTGATGTTAGGAATGAAAAGGGGAATTAACTACAGAGAAAAACGCTTTGAAAAACTAAGTCTACTATTAAAAAAAACTACCAATAAATTTGAAACGTTAGATGGAGTGGAGAATTGCTTTGAAAAATATAAATATCCAAAACTGACTGAAAATGGAGAAAACCTGAACAGACTGGCAATTATTACAGAAGTTCAAGAAGTTATAGGTCTTTTCACTCATGAAAAACACTCTACCTCACCAGTAGTCAGGGAAATGCAAGTTAAGACAATAAGCTCCATTCCATAGGAGCATCCAACTGACAGAAAGTCTGATAGTACTAAGAGTGGGCAAAGATATGGGGAAAGGGTAACACCCAGACACTGCAGATGGAAATGCAGTTGGGGACAACTGGATTGGAGTAAGGAAGAGCCTGTTCGTACCCTGCCAAGTGACAAGTCTGAGTATACACCCTACAGCAGCCTTTGCCTGTGTGCACAAGAAGATATGCACCATACTTCATCCACTCATCTGTTTATTCAACAGACACTTATTGTGTCAGGTATTACAGGGCCCACGCACCCGATCGTTGTAGCGTTGTTTGAAAATAACCTAATTTTTGTTAATGGCAATGAGGAAATAGTGTAGTCTGTTCATAAATTGAAAAGTCCATACAGCAAATGAAAATAATGAAGTGGTCTGGAACATAGGTGTATCTCTAAAACATAAGACTAAGTGGTAAGCTATGGGAAGAAACCCAGACTATGTTACTCTATGGGTACATTTAGAAAACACAGGAAGCGATGCCACTGTGCCTGGCCAGCAACATCAGCATCACCTGGGAGCTTACTAGAAATTCAGACCTCCCACCCCAGGCCCACTGGATCAAAGTCACTAAGGGGAAGGCACAACAGTCTGTGGTTTTTATCATCTCTCCAGGTGATTGGTATGCACAGGAAAGTTTGAGAAGCTCTTATATTACACATGGGCACATCTGTATGTGGTTTAAAATATTAAAACATGGGTGAGAAGATCCACACCAAATTCACAATAGTGGTAACCTCTGGGGAGAGAGGAATAAGGAAAACTGAATCAGGAAGAATACACATGGGGCTTTAATTACATCTGGAACTGTTTATTGCCTTTAAAAATGTGAGATAAACATGGCAAAACATTAAAAATATCAGTTAATCTGAGGGACACATACACAGATTTTTAAATATTCTTCTCTGGACATTATATGTTTGAAAATACTGCAATAACAATTAGAAAAATAAAGCAATAATTCCATCCAGAGAATTTGATGGAATATAGCTCTTTATTATTTGATATAATATTAATTTCATTCAATGTCATACCAACCGTTATTTGTGCCCATTGCTTTTAGGCGAGTCAGGGAGTTAAACAGCAGCAACACTAAAAAGTTTCTGGAAGAAAGAAAGAGAGTAAGTATTTTATTATATTTTTGGCATTCTTCCTTTAAAAAACTATAAACAATAACATGCTTAGCCACCAGATCTCTAGCTAATTTGTTTAATTTGATTTTTCTGTACATTAAACATTCCAGCTTCTCTGCTCCCTGAAAGCTAAAATAATGTCTCACTAAAATCTTTAAGGTAATGATTTGGCACCATTTTATACAGAAAATGAAGCCAGGTTTAGTCATGCGTAAGTCCTCTATTATTTTCTAAGATTTTAGCAGGAAAGATCTTCCCAGAAATAATTATGAGTTTAAACTCTCCAAATTTTGAGATGATTTTTTAAAAAATTATTATCTCTTTCACTTAAATTATAAAGTTACAAGTCATCTCTCATCCCTGTTTTAAGATTGTAACCCAAAGTTCAATCAGAATTTTTTTTTTTTTTTTTTTTGCAGCTTGCCATGAAGCAGTCCAAAGAAATGGATCAGTTGAAAAAAGTCCAGCTTGAACATCTAGAATTCCTAGAGAAACAGAATGAGCAGGTATTTTACCTAAAATACGTAAAAACATGCAGGCAGCTAGCCAGCTTTGGGATACACATGCCATGGCCCACAGTGACCAGTGGCTTGCATATTGTAATTGAAAGGTAGATAGAAGAATTTGTTGCCCATTACTATATTTTCTCCATTATATCCAAAAAGAAAAGAAAGTACCAGTTTTTGGAGCAGGAGCAGAATCTGGCTGTGCCAAAAAAAGAATATTTGGATAAATTATGGGGATTATGTGAATTCTAAGAATGAAATTACTAAAAGTGAGAGGATGAAAAAAAGAGATTACGAAGTATTTCTCCATTTTCATTTAGAGTTTTATAATTTGCAAACTATAGGCAAGGGATATGATGTTTAAAAGCAAATGAGAGAAACCACCTATTTTCAAACTCAATCTGAAAACGAAGTTTAAAAACCTCCCTGGGACTTACAGGTGGTATCTAAAGTCATGAGCCCCCATCACTCTACAAATCACTGAGCATGAGTGGATACCATAGTCTTGGTCTTTTTCCCTGCAAGACAAGACACTAAATAAAGAAATATACACAAATAAAGAGTTATCCAGGCCGGGCGCAGTGGGCTCATGCCTGTAATCCCAGCACTTTGAGAGGCCGAGGAGGGTGGATCAGGAGGTCAGGAGATCGAGACCATCCTGGCCAACATGGTGAAGCCCCGTCTCTACTAAAAATACAAAAATTAGCCGGGCCTGGTGGCATGCACCTGTAGTCCCAGCTACTCAGTTGGCTGAAGCAGGAAAATCACTTGAACCCAAGAGGCGGAGGTTGCAGTGAGCCGAGATCGCACCACTGCACTCCAGCCTGAGCGACAGAGTGACTCCATCTCAAAAAAAAAAAAAAAGGAGTTACCCAAACACCAACTGTTTAGTTAGGCCAATGGGCATATACCAGCACCAAGGTAAATGTATTTTTATCTGGTGCATAGTACAGGTGGGCACCTTTCCAAATGGGCTACAGCCCATCAGCCTTCTACAGTAACCTTTAATTAATGGAAATCCCTCTAGTTCCTATGGCAACAAGACCCTCAGTTATCATTTACATTTCAGACTCTCTCAGTTCAAATGTTATTCTTTAGGTGTAGTTGGTATAGAAGTTATTATTCCTAGGTAATTCAATTTAGAAACGGAGAGGTTTTGATGAAATATGTACTTGTGCCACATTATTCCTTCCTGTTTTCTCCCATCTATAAAACAATCCTATTTAAGGAATACTTTTTTCCAGAGTAAATGACTCCCCTTGAAGAATACTTAAGTAGGAATTATACTAAAAAGTACCTTTGAGAAAGTAAAAATAAAATAAAATAAAATAAAATAAAATCTTTTTTGTATGGCAATTGGGTAACAGATAAATCTGACTTCTAGTTTCAGATTCTTTACTTTTTGGTGGACAGAAATTTTATTCATCAACATACTTCCTAGTTATGTTTCCCATTTCCTTTTCAGCTAAGTGCTTCTATTCATAAGCAAGTCCACTCCAAGGGGACAATACATGGTTATTGTCCCACAGGTACAATTCATTTGACCAACTCATAAACACATCACATTCTGGTACAAGTTACCTAGCTTATGTTTTTGCTCTTAAAGCACTTCTCAGAAAGTGCTCCTGGGGGAAATATGGGAATATGAGTAAGGATAAAGTCACCATCTCCAAAGCTTTAGAAGCCACTTCAGTGATTCAACAATGGGTAGGGATAAGGATGCCTTGGAGAAGGTTTTTAAAAATTCTCCCTAGAGGAAGGGCACAGTGAAAGGTAAGGCACAGTTATGTGTTAGTTAACTAAATTAAGAAACTACTTGGAAATTAATTGTGTTGCTTAGCAACAAGTTTGACTAAAGAATGTAAATGTGCTCAGAATTACTCATCACTACAATAGTGGTGTATGCCAGAGCTAGAGAAAACAGTCATCTTGTGTCGCTAGCTTTGGAGCCGAAGTACATAATTTTTAAAAATCAGTTTGAGCTTTTATCCTAACACATGGCTAATTCAAGCCACACCAGAGTTCTTGCATTAAACTGCTAGATTAGTGATAGCTGTATTGATTAGATTGTATTGGGAGGGTGCTGGCTTTTTGTTGCAGAAATTCAAATATGTCTTTTAAGGTCTACCACCCACAACTGACACTTTGAGTCACAAAAGCTTGGGAAAGCATAGAACATGAAAAGGCTTGAGACCTGATAAAGATTTAATGAGATTCAAGGAAAAGACATTCAAGATATCATACTGATGCTTCTGGCAAGCAAAGAATTTGGACTTGAGTTTCTGTGTTAAGCTTTGCTTTAGAAATATGGCCTGTTCAATTGCAAATTCAATCCCAGATCTTTCTAGTATACATTTTTTGGCATTTAAGGGTGAGAAAGCTCTCAATTCACAGTTACTCTGTATGGTACAACACTGTCATGGGCACAGTGCAAAAGATACAGTGACTTCATTTCTTTCCTCATAAAAAGGCAAGGTCTGGAACTATATAGTATAACTGCCTTCATAACCAGGTAAACATTTCATCAGCAAGAACAGTTCTTTGTCTCCAGACAATGCAAACTTCTACAACAATCTTCTAAATAATTGTTAAATCCCAAGACATTTTTTCTAAGCCAGAGATAAATGTAAACATTCTCCCATAGTATTTCCCTCAAAGGTTTCTTTCTGTTCTCCTGTGACCCTACTCCTAATCGGTGTCCCAAATCTCCCCTTCCAAAGCAAGGCCTGGAATGGATTCAGTCCATTAGCTAAACCAGTGTTGGGGGCACTGGCAGAAACAAACCAGGCGTCAGTATGTTTTGGTCCTGATTCTGGATCCTCACCTTCTAGGTTATTTGTAAGCCACTTTATGTCCTTGCCTACTTGGTCAGCCAACTATTCACTTAACACTCTGAAGGTTGGGGATGTTTTTCCTACTTGAGTTTTTTCATAGACTTCCCAGCTACACAGTATATCTCATCTGTCTTGACATGTACCATTTCAAACATTAACGACTCCATTACTGTCACACACTCGAGTCTCAAAAATTGATTTTTATCATCAATCCTATCATTTAATAAAGAGAGGTAAAAGGTTTTGCTTAAAGGCCAGGTTCTCCACTTACTGCCACAGAAGAGAGGCACAGTCTGGGAATGACAGGCGTTGGTTGTTTGTTTCGTTTCTTTTTTTTCTGTTGAGATCAACTAGGGGAAAGTTTGTCACTGAGGGGTGTGTACATGTTTTATCCTTAGCTTTTTGCTTTTCTGTATATGGTTTTGCATTCATTTTTCAAATTCACTTCAATATTCATTTATTTTCTTCGTTTTGTATGTATGACTCAATTTTGACATTACTATTTTTGTACAAACAGCTTTTGAAATCCTGTCATGCAGTGTCCCAAACGCAAGGTAGGACCGAAACTCTGATAAGCAAGACGTTGCTTTCCTTCTCGACTACGTCCGTATTCTCTGTGCAGTCTCCATTTATGAGTCACATCTGGTCATAACTAATATCTGAAGGGTTTGGATTTAAAAGCTTGACTATTCCATGCTTGGATTTCTGATGTCATATTCATGCCAAAATGCCCTAAGTCTTTAGAGAATTACTTCTGAGGGTATTTGAACCTGTATTTTCTATTGCAGATTTAGGAAACAGATCATGGTAATAAAGACATAACCAGAACAGTGATGTGCAGCTGTCATTTGGACTGACCAGAGCTAAGACAGGGTCACAGAGTCAGGTCACTCACAAATGTTAATATGACTCCAATTAATTTTTAAAGCGCTCGCTGAAAGTTGGTTGGTGGTTTTTAATGATGGAGCTGTGCTGTGCATGTAGAAACCTTACACGATGACTCTTGTCATGCTCTCTGCTAAGTCCCATCTGCCAAAGACCCTAATCACTCCTCATAAGTAAGGTGGTCATATAATTTATTGTCCATACCAGGATAGTTTTGAGAGTGAAAGGCAGCTCTGTTTATAATATCTAGGACTACAGGCATAAACTGGAATTGCCTCAGACAAATGAGAATGAATGGTCACCCAACTCATATAAGAACTTAGCTGTTGGAATAGTCTTGTAATGTCCTATGATTCTTCCTTCTACACCGTGGTCAATACTTTCTTCAGAAGCTAAAGGGGGACAAGCACAGAGAATCATTTGCTACTATTTACCGAACTTGGAAGTATTTAATTTCCAGTGCTGATAATGTTTCACTGTCATCCCTTTTGAATACTGTTTGTGTCATAGTTTCATGTTTGTATATTTTTCTCCATTTCTTCATTTCTCTATTAGAGTATTACTATACTTTAGGCATAAAAAATATCTGGGCAGAGGGAACCAACCATCCCAAATTTACACAGAAAGATTTAATTCTTTGGTGTTATTATATCCATCCTCACCAAAATGAAGCTTAACGCCAAAATATAGAAGTAAGAAGAAGAAGGAAATCACAGTATAGTCTGTGGGTTAAATTAATTTTGTCACAAGAATTCATTTGGAAGATGCTTCTCATATATCTACAGAGTTGACCAAATCCCCTCCCAGTGACCTTCCATTTAGTTGGAATATCTAAGCAGACATAAATAGTAACATCAGGGCACTTCAGAATCTTCATCCGATTTATATCTTCATAGGTCCATGTTTCTATTTTCAAATGTCCTTTATTTCAAAGCAGCATGTCACTAAAAAAAAGAAATGGGCAATCATCATTCCTCAAAAGATACGTGCATTTGGTTGGGCAAAATCATCCAGGCTACCAGTTGGATAATAAAAGTCGAAATGTACTATTTGATTTTTTCCTATGTTTCCAAGCAAGTATTTCTCACCAGACACTGCCCCCATCATATCCCCTTTCCTCTTCTCGAATTAGCTGGTTTTCTTAGTGACAATCTGAACTCATGAGGTTGAATTCACCATTGCTTACTTCCTGGTAGTCCATAAAAAGTACCCTAGAGAAGTAAGAGCCCACAGGGATAGAGTTTGCACAATAAGATTCCTGAAAGCCTGCATGTTCCTGTAACATTCCATTTACAGAAGACTCCAGCCAATCCAATGTAATATGCTCTCACCTGAACTTCTCTATCAATTAGATTTTTAGGGAATTACTTTTAACTAAATTTCAGGCTATTTAGGAAATAAGTTGTACATAAGCAATACTTATTCTAATGTGATAAAATTATCTACACACAGTCAAAGCAACGTGTCAATCTGTAGAAACTAAATCAAACAGTTTGTGGTATGGTCTAAAGATAAAGCAAGTGGTCTACCCTCTTCTCAAGTGGTTCTCCTGGCACTGTGTAAACCAGTCCCCAAAATTTAATGTGTATAAAAACTTCCTGGAGATCTTGTTAAAATGAAGATTTTAACTGATTCAATAGATCTGGGGTAGACTCCAAGATTCTACGTTTCTAAGAAGGTCCCAGGCAATGCTGATGCTGCTTGTACATGGACCATATTTTGAGTAGCAAGGATGTGGTGACAGGATCATATTTATGGGAGAAGAGAGGCCAGGGTTGTTAAGTGCCTTCAGATAAGGATTTCAACACACGTAAGGCCATGTTTCTGATGTTATAGGCGAAGGAGATGCAGCAGATGGTGAAATTGGAAGCCGAGATGGACCGCAGACCAGCAACAGTAGTATGAAACTCCAAAATGCAAACTGAAGCAGCAAACCCACAAAGCATCAAAAGACTCACTCACAAACTTCTGAACACAAACTCCATGGATGAAAGCTGTTTATTTTGTTTCCTTTATGTGTAAACAAGATGATATCTGAAACCAGAGAGACTTGGAATGTCTGACTGACTTCTATTTAACAGCTTGAGTATTGCATTTCCTTGGCCAAACAAAAATAGCTACAAATCCACAAAAATTTACTATTCCAGTAAGGCAGAGTCCAACCATTGATAATACAACTTAAACATGTTTGCTATAAAATACCATCACAAGTAAATGAGCTTGGTGTGAACAACTCTCCTTTGTGATGCCTTAGGACATGTTTGAACTGCAGCAAAAAACAAAAACAAAAAACAGTGCATTAGCAATTTCATAGCAAGTGCATGCACTAGGAAAAGAAAACTCTGTCTACAAGTTTATTAGCAGAAGTGGTGGTCTGCTAGACAAATAATTTTGCAAAATTTTTCTACATCTAAGTTACCTCATCAGTAAGTGCCATGTCTCTACCATGCCATCAGAGGCTAATTTCCTGTAAAAGTTGTGGAAATTGTTAGAACAATAGAAAAATAGAGCAGTGTATGTGTGCCAAAACTCATCATTACTCAAAGGAGAACTGTGTTAGGCACATTTAAGAAAGTTTACATCTGACATTGCTTTATAGGAATTGTTTCTGCAGATTCCGGATATTATAATTCACACCATAAAGATTGTGAAGTGGTTATTGGCAAACGTTTGTAAATGTGACCATGTATAAAGTATTTATACTCTTTAATTCACACTGTTAGAGAGCAAAATCATCTAAGTATTGCCACATGACAAGATTAGTAAACAGGAATACTAGAACTATGTTTGCATGATACACAAGCACCAATAAAGACTAATCCATACACAGTTAACCTAATGCCAAATAAATACTGGTTAAATAAATGTATGGCACAGAATATAATTTGACTATCAAGACTTTTAGCATAATGAAAAACCCTCTCTCTATATATATATGTGTATATGAATTATGTGGGCATTCTTGATACTTCAAGTTCTAGTTTGAAAAAAATACATAACTAATTTAATTTTACACAAAAATATTTATGCAGATTTTCAGAATTTCATATCAGGAAATGACCTTTTTATGTCTGTTAAATATCAAAACAATTTGCTACAGTGTTAATCTGCATGGTCTTTAAGCCTGCTGTAGTTGAGTTGCAGACAGTGCATGAAAAAGTATTCCGCTGGGAATTGAGCCATGCCACCAAAGCCAAGAGGAGCGCATGGAAACCCGGTAGTCTAGAACTAATCAGATTACTGATTTTAGGGCACAGCACCAGATGAATTGTTGTATATGCTTGTAAAAATTGATTCTGTGTGTTCCTCTGAACAAAGCGGAGAAAATGATGATACCATCAATATTGAAATTAAACTTCCAACTTCTCTAATAAAAAATTAAAACACGCATAACACTCGTCAAGAGTATTTGCTCCCAAGACACATTCTAGCAAATGTTTTGCCTTTTTCATATACATGATATCATCGTTATTTTCAAAGGGGGCTTATTAATACCCTCAGCATGTTTTTCACCCAAATGATGCAAAACATGCAGATTCTAGTTGACTTCAGTTGTAATAGACTTGTTTTTCTCCTATTTATGATTTGAAGTGGATTCTGTAAAATATCTCTTGTTCTTAGTTTCCTTATCTGTAAAACAGTGGAGTTAGACTACATATCTTTTGGCACTAACATCTCATGAAAAATTATGGTTAATAAAATATCACCACATTTGGATTGCCAATTTTCAAAGATTCTGAGTGGCTTCTCATCATCAAATCAAATCAAATCCAAGAGCTCAACTATGCTCACCATTCTGTAACACTTGACTGAATTCATCACTTGCCTCCTCTTGTTTCTGCTTTGGAGAGGTACTACTAGTTTTTCCATTTTTCTTATTTCTTCCCTCTTTTCATCCTCCTAGGCCACCATAAGCATTTATATTTTCCAGTGTTATACATGGAACCAGTTTGTTTTTCTTTGATCCAGGTTACTTTTAGTATTTGAGACATCATACCATTAATCCATTGTAGTAGGATTAAAATGTACACACAACTCAAATGTGCAACAAAAGCATGTGTTACCTGCTATTGTCAGTTCATATTGCACTCAAACCTTGCATTATCCCTTATTATGAAGAAAAATTAATAGCCAATTAAAGTAACTCAGTGTCTTCCAGTTTTGTTTTTTTTTTTTAAAAAAAAAAAAACATTTTCAGGGACATGTTTAGTTACTTGAGAGTCAAATCCCCTGTTAGAGATCCCTCCCCATTCAGGAGATCTTGCTTTTTTCCCCAGATGGCATCTGGGTATGAGGGAAGCTCACGTGTCCACCTGGCAATTGGTAGGAGCATCTGGTTTCCCCATTGTTGGACAGGTCCTAACTGCACTCTACTGCAGCTTTGCAAAGTGGGCCTTCCCACCCCAGTGGTTCAAAGTCCCTGCTCAGCCAAGTCCTCATTCTGGTATCAGTTTATTCCAGCATTCTTCTGGGATATGCAGAACTTCCAGGTCTTTGGGGGCTGTGCAGGAACCAAAGATGCTGTCTCAGGTCCATCCATCAAAACACTCCTTTGGTCATTTGTCAGCTACTAGGGCCATGTAGTTTCAATACCACAGAGTTTTCTAAATCCAGGAGGCTTGAAATGTTCCAGAGCAATGCCCCAAAAAGCAAGAAGCAAGCAAGCTTTATACTGCCCCAAGACTATCTGGGTTTCTACAACATCTTGCTTCTCCCACCATCAGAACTTTTTGTTCTTATTTGGGAGCCAGGGCACTTGAGTCTCAATTCTTACCTTTATTCTTTCTTTCAGCCCAGAAAAGATACTCAACTCCCATTCCTGACTGATGGAATACCCATACAGTACTATACTTCTCTTTTCCTAAGTAGGTTGCTCTTCACATTTTGGGGGAATAAAAGGCTTCATGGAAAAAGAGCCAGGTTACCAAGATAGGGAAACACATCAGAAAGTACCATCTTTCATCAAATTGAAGGCATTATTGATTATAGCTTATACTATTATTTTATATACCACACAAAATGAAACACACTGCCAATTAAACTATAATACCCTATCCGGTGATTGTCAAGGCACATCCCAATTTCAGAGATGTTAAAATGTGAAAAATACATACATCTTGGAATCCATGAAATATGTAGTATTCCAAAAGTAGTATACAAACTCCTCAACCCTAAGCCTTAAAGAGGAGAGGAAATTTTAAAGATAGGACACAAGAGAATCATTTTATCACAAAACTGAAACTGGTTTTGTGGAACTGAAAAATGGTTCCAAAAAGGAACCATTCTGCAACTGAGTTTCAAATTTAGCAATGAGCTTCCTGGAAAGCAATTCAAAAAGGGGAAGAAATCTATCTTTCACCGTCTTTATTTGAAGAATCTTGTTTCCTTTAGCTGTTTCTTTCAATCACATGCCTTTGATTTCTACTTCTTTGCATGTAATTCTCGAATCTATAATTCTAGCCTTTACCTTTCTTTCCCGAAGCTCTGACTCTCCCTCTCAGATTGTCAATAGTTAAATAGGCGGCCATGTGCACATTGTATGTGATTAATTAAAAAAAATAGAGACTCTTTCTCCATCTGTCCTCCCCACATATTTTAATAGTCCATAAGCAGTGCTAAACCTTGTGGCCATCTTTTTCTGCTCCATCTCATTTCCTCCAGCACCCAATCTGTTCATAAAACTTATGAATTCTGTCCTGTCTTGGAAACTTTCTTCTCCTTCCTTATAACTCAACGTTCAGAATTTTAAACTTGCTGTTCAATTTCTTTGCCCTCCAAATCCCTTTTACACAGAGATTAATCTTCCCAAATGACACCTGCAATCATATTACCATTCTGCTTGTAAATGCAGAATTCCTGTCTACTGCCTAAAGAATAATGTTGAAATTAGTGATAACAGCATTCATTTTCTGCCCCCAACATGCCTACTCATTTTAGTCAATATGAATTTATCACTAGTCTCTGTTCACATACACATAGTACACATCTTTTCTAGCCACATTACATAATAATGTTCTATTAAGTCTTGAAAAGCAACTTCCAAAAATGCCATTTCTGAAAAGTTCTCTCATTCTCCCAAGCAAGAAGTAACCTGCCCTTTTTCATTTATCCATTTATACTTTAAAAGCTATTTAAGCATAAGACTTTTCCACCAGTCCTGACTAATTTCTTTTCAGGCTTTGTTCAGTTGCTCTTCAAAGAAGAGGTAGTCACTAGATATCGAATTACTAAGTTATTTTCTATGAAGTAAAATAACCATCTGTATAGACTCTTGGGCAGGAAATGCCTTTGAAAACTTAATGAAAACCTAAAAGAAGCTTTTTTGCAAAGTGTCTTTTCAGTTCCAAGAAAAATAATTTTTCTCAATACTTATTGTTAGCATACTTTTAAAACAGTGCAATGATCACAGTGGCCATCACGGATCTAACAGTGTGGATCCATCAACATTAAGAGATTATGGAGAGTGAAGAAGGAATACCCCTATTATTTTATTGCTGAGGTTATCTTAGGGACGCCTCGTTCAAAACTCTAGCTTCTCCTTCTTCATCACTTGTGCAAATCTAACAGAAGGCCACACATTTCTACAACTCTTCTTTGATGCTTGACGTTGAACGGAATCTCAAGCACATATTTTAATTGCATCTTTAATATCATAATAAATCTGGTGATACCTCTGGGATGAATATTTATGAGCCATCTTCTTTAATAATATTTTGTGGAAAACGTTCTGCTCCATAGGTTAGAATAATGAAAAAATATTAGGCGGGTGGGGGGAGTAGGGAGATGGTTAAAATAGCAGCATCATTGCTTTTACATTAAAAAATTGGTGTCTACACTGTACTTATCGTGATAAATGATGCTGTGCCTTTTCCACTCCTTTCCTCTCCTAGCATTACCTTCTTGGAAGTTCAGGGTAAGGGGCAATTTCTGAAGTACTTCATCCTGGAAATTTTTGAGTGTCCAGCACAATAAAATTAGGAAAAATTTCCAAGGAAGGCCAATTTAATATTGTATACCTAATCACTTGCATCAGGACTCAATAGCTTTAGATGAATCAGAATGTACCAAAAACAAAACAGACAGAAAAAGGATTTGACCATCTGTCATTTCGGAACTTTGATATCATATAATGTGAATGAGGAAATGTTATACTGATCCATCAAAATTGTTTACCCTTTTCAAGCAATTCATGGATTTTCTCAAAATTCACATGCAGCTTTTAACACTTCTATCTTTTGTTTTTCCTTAGACAAATCTTGGTATTTTGTTAGGGTGTGGTATTTGTTACAGCACAGCATATTGAACCCTACAGACTGTACCCCTGTATTATGAATTCACTTCTACTACATCAAGTAGCCATATAAATGGTTATATTAGACATTTCTTCAGCATTGAACTAACTTTATTTGTTCATGGATTAAATATTTATTGGAAAACCACTCTTAACCTCTCTACCCTTGTAACCCAGTTCCAACTCATTCTGCTCACCACACAACAGCCAGTAAGTAGAGAGACAAGGAGTTGGAACAAGGAAGGTGACTTTAGTTCAAAGAGCCAGAAAACTGAGAAGATGGTGGACTAGCGTCCTAAAGTACCATCTTTGGTCAGTACTCATTTCAGACTCTTTATGTTAAGGGTGGTGGGAAGAGGAGGAGTTGGGATCAAGAGGTGACTGACAACTGCAGACATTTGAGTGCCAACAAGGGTCTGAGGAGGTTGGAAACTTCTTTGTCTTTGTCTTTAGCCAAGTCACAATGTTCCTATAAATCTTTAACAAAACATAGTTGCTTACATACTCTCTCTTTAATCCCAGAGTACAAATACAAAATGGCTATTTTTGTATTTTATCTGTGTGCCCAAATTAGCCTAGCCTATGTGCAGGAACAGGAAAAGGCCCCTTAAACAAAAATGGGGTCAGTTATGTTCTTTTAGTGTTTCACTGTTACACACTTCCAACTTTTTCTCTTTTCTTTTTTTTTTTTTTGAGACAGAGTGACTCTGTCGCCCAGGCTGGAGTGCAGTGGCACTGTGTCGGCTCACTGCAACCTCCGTCTCCTGGGTTCAAGTGATCCTCCTGCCTCAACCTCCTGAGTAGCTAGGATTACAGGCACGCACCACCATGCCTGGCTAATTTTTGTATTTTTAGTGGAGATGGGGTTTCACCATGTTGACCAGGCTGGTCTCAAACTCCTGACCTCAGGCAATCTGCCTGCCTCGGCCTCCCAAAGTACTGGGATTACAGGCATGAGCCACCGTATCCAGCCCTTCAACTTGTTTTTTTACCAGTAATGCACTCTATTTTGAAAACTTATCAACAGTTTTAGCTTTAGGCGATATTCATAAGGTAGATGGGTGGCATTAATGGCCCCAATTTTTTATGCACAAAATTATTTAGAACAGTGTATAAAATTACCCTGAGGCTATGTGTATACAGTGTAATGACACATAAATATATTTTGTGTTTGGACTTGGATCCCATCCCCAAGATATCTTATTATGTATATGCAGATATTCCAAAATCTAAAAACAACCGAAATCTGAAACACTTCTGGTCCCAAGCATTTTGGATAAGGAACACTCAAGCTGTAGCAGCAAACTGGACACGAGTGGAGGCACATTTTTGTTTCTTCACTTTAAGTCTCTGACACTGCCGTGAGAGCACATGAGAAGGCTGGCCTGCTGGCGGGTATGCGCGACTTGCAGAGAGTGGAGTTATCTCGTTCATTTTACCAGCTGACAATAGATGTGTGAGCCTGCAGCTGAGATCAGCCATGCCTTTCCCAGAGCCGTGGGAACACCCAGCCAACCTATAACCATATGAGAAATAGGAAATGGATGTTGATTTGAGCCACTGAGTTTTGATATTTTTTGTTATGTGGCCATAACTAACTGATACAGCCAAGCTCTGGGAACAGGAAGATGATAAAACAGTCTCATTTCAAAGTCCCAGAGACTGCAGCTTTCAAAAGCCACTGGAATCACCTACAGGCACGGAACATGGTTTTCTCAGGGAGTGATTCCAGCTGCTAAGCCTCATGTTTGATGTCTCAGGTTTCTTTTTATTTGTAACCTTCTGAGTGTCTGCTGTTCACTTCCTCTAAGCTGGACTGCTGATGATTTCAACTAACTTTGTCATTTGACAAACACCTCCTCCTCCTCATCCTCCTCCCCCTCCTTCTTCTTCCTCCTCCTCCTACTCCTTCTTCTTCTTTCTTCTTTGACTTTCTCCCTCCCCCTCCCTGTCTTTTCATTTTTTTGGTTTGCTTCTAAACCTTCTCTCTTTTTCCTTTGGGCTCCCTGGTCACTCAAATGACCTCCTGCCACAGTCTTGGATGCTAATATTAAGTAGCTGCTTTCGGACTGGTCTGTTTGAGTTATGGGTCCTAAAATTGCAGATAAACGGGGAATTACTTTACCACATTACTTTGTCCAATTGCATAAAATATGGGACACAGATTTTTTAAATGCAATAGTCTAGCAATGGAAATATATGGTATTGAGTAGTTAGACTGATTTTAAAGCAAAATTCTTAAAAGAAAAATATAGGAGCATATATTAGGTATTAATAAGAGGAATGTATTTAAATATATTTCGAATAATTTAAAAGTATATTATGCTAAATAATATATGCTGAAATAAAATTCAGCAAAGTAAAAATATTTTCTAAGGCTTGGAAGTCTATTAAGCTAAACGTCTGCCAATCTTATGTCCCAGCAATTACACTCTAAGAGTAATGAGTGTAAGCCAGACATGGTGATACACACCTGCAGTCCAAGCTACTTGGGAGGCTGACAATATAATTCAAGGCTATGCCTCCTCTTTAATCCCAGAGTACAAAGTAGTGTTCTATGATCGCACCCAAGAATAGCTACCACACCCCAGCGTGCAATACGTAACGAGACCCCATCTTAAAAAAGAAGAAGAAAAAAGAAAAAAAGAAATGAGTGTATTGTGTATGTGTTCATCAAAAAGCATGTTCTTTATTCATAATAATAAAAAGCTAGAAACAAATCAGATGTGTACCAATAGGAGGATGCATTGATGAAATGTAGTATATTCACAGGGTAGAACACATGAAAGTACTTACCTTATGATTCCACATACATGAAGATCAAGGAAAGGCAATGCTAATCTTGAAGGAAGTCAGAGTAGTGGTCCTCTCTGAAAAAACCTTCCAGGATGATGGTGATGGTCTATGCAAGTGGTTCTCGAAGTGTGTATCAAGGATCCCTTGGCAAGCCATTGTGTCCCCCAAGAGACTGTCAGAGGGTCTGTGTAGTCCTCTTGTTTCCAAATCCGTCTCTGTGGGAGGCCAGATTTCTTCATATACTGCAGTGAAAATGACATATCACAACAGACCGAATGAAGAAAAAGACATTAGAACTCAGATGACTTCTGTAAAGCCATACGTTAAAGACATTTGCAACAATGTAAAACAATGCCACTCCTCCCACCAACTTTTAGAAAATACAGTTATGTTTCACAAAAAAGTTATTGTAATAGTACAATATTGGTTATATATTAACAAGTGACAGTTTTGTTATTTTTATTGAATTGAGAAATATTTTGAAATTCCTGTTTCAAATTTTTAACATAGTAATGCTTACAGATATAATTCACATAAACAAACTCTGAGTTTTTTAAAAATATTAAGAGTGTTAAGGAATCCCTGAGGCCAAAGATTTTGAGAACTGCTGGTCTATAACTTACGCTGCGTGGAGGTTACATGGGTGTTTATACAGGTAAACATTGATCAGGGAATCAGGGAATACACCTAAGATTTGTGTCTTCCATTGCATGTATAATTCTCAATTAAACCCATGTTTTAAAAATATAGCAATAGATATATGTTCATGGTATAAAGAGAATGGGGGGAATGAAATATAATTTAGTATACAAAAATACATATACACATTCAGAAGACCAATAGGGATGATGCCAAAATAACAAAGTTTACTTCTGAAGCCTGTTGCCTAGTGGAAACCATCGAAGAGGCATAATTACTCAGAAGAGTTTTGAGCATAAAATTAATTCAGCAGGCTTTGCTGCTCCACAAGGAAACTATTCTACTCCTCTCAAAAGCCTGTGCTGAGTGAGGGAGGCAGAGTTGGATGTGGAATAGACTCTCTTTATTCTTCCCTTCTAGCATTTTCCATGCCAACTCTCCAAGTCTGCAACAGAAAATGATTTGAAACAATACAAGAGTAACTTAAGAGAGAGCCTCTCACAAGGGACAGGAAATGACACACCCGAGAAAAATAGCAGAAATATCCACTTAGGAAAGGTGGCAGCTGTCAGATTAAAGAGAACCCAGATGATGAATTTGGCATAAATTCTCCCAAGGGGATCTGCAGTAACATTAAATGATAGTGCAAAGCAAAATGGAAATGGGTGCAACTGGGATCAGCTGAGATAGATGAAACTTTCTACTTGTAGAAGTCAGTGTGGCAATTAACAGTCTAATTTGGGATCCCACTGACTACAGCTTAGATCCTAACTCCGCTATTCACTAACTGCGGACTTCAGGCATCCTACTTAATGCCGCAGAATTGGAGCTTTCCATCTGTAGAATGGATGTAATGCCACCTACCTCATGGTGCTGCTGTGAGAATCAAGTTAGCTTTTGAATCATTTAATACATACAGTTCCAGGCATATCCTAAGTGTTCAAAGAGTGGTATTTTGAAGATCATTTGTGGCTGTGTTTACCTTTTTAGCTGAGAACTCCTCTTCATCTTAATACATACTCTATAGAAACTCTTTTAGGAATTTTAAAATAATATCATGTCATTATTTTTGCATGATATATAAAGGTATGATTTTAAATATTTGGAAAAATGTATTAGATTGATATACTTTTAATAATTGGTTAGCAAAGTTCATTTCAATAAGATGTTTAATAGAGTAATATTCATTAGATACCTCTGAAGAGACAAATTCCAACTTTTTCAGTATACCAAGCTTTAAAGGAAGATAATACATTTTATTTATTCATTTATCAGTTAATAGATATTTGGGTTGTTTCTGATTTGGGGCTATTATGAATAATGTTGCTATGAACATTCACATACAAGTTTCTGTGTGGATGTATGTTTTCTTTTCTCTTGGGTATATACCTAGGAGTAGAATTGCTGGGTCACATGGTAACTCTACGTTTAACTCTTTGAAGAACTGCCAGACTGTCTCCCAAAGTGGCTGCGTCATTTCACACTTCCACCAGCAGTGTATGAAGATTCTGAGTTCTCTACATCTTTGTCAATACTTATTACCTTTTTTATTATAGTCATCCTAGTGTGTGTGTCGTTGGTATCTTATTATGGTTTCGACTTTCACTTCCCTGATCCTTAATGGTATTAAGCATCTTTTCATGTGCTTATTGGCAAGTTGTATATCTTTTTTTGTAGAAATATATATCTCAGAACCTTTGCTCATTTTAAATTGTGTTGTCTTTTTATTACTGAGTTGTAGGAGTTCTTTACACATTTTAGATACTAGTCCTTTTTCAGATATATAATTTGCAAAATTTTTCTCTCATTCTGTGGGTTGCCTTTTCACCTTCTTCATGGTGTCTTTTGAAACACAAAAATTTAAATTTTGATGAAGTTCAATTTGTCTATTTTTCTCTTTTGTTGCTTGTGCTCTTGGTGTCATATTTAAGAAACCATTGCTTCATCCATGGTCACTGAGATTTATGCCTGCTTTCTTTTAAGAGTTGTATAGTTTAATCTCTTACATGTAGGTCTTTGATCCGTTATGAATTCTTTTTATATCTACTGTAAGGGTGAATGCCATTCTTTTGTATATGGATAGCTAGTTGTCCCAGAACCATTTGTTTTTGTTTTTGTTTTTACATAAGTTCTAGAGATCTACCGAGCCTCTGTTGAAAAAACTTTTTCTCAATCAAATTGTCTTGGCATCCTTGTCAAATATCAATGGATTACAAATGTGGAGGTAAACTCACTGTTAAACTCCCATCATGTCCATTGGCATTGCTTAAGATGTGGATGACCTTCACCTAGCCAAATCCCATGTGTCTCTTCTACATGCTCATCAAAACCTCTCTGCAATGTTTGACACAGTCAACCATTGCCCCATTCTTGAAACACTCGCTTGTCTTTGTCTTCATGACCTCAAACTATGTGGAGGCACAAACTTCCCATGCTCCAGTCCCACCTTATCTAACAAAATGCTTTCTTTTCTTCCTTTCACGAGAAAAGATGGATCTCAGGAATCTTTTGTCTATGATGCTTCCATCCCATGACACCCTTCCAAATTCTTCCCTACTCACAATGGAATGCAGAATTTATGACCCAGACCACGTCTGTTAGCCATTAGTTCTAGACTTTTGTCTTTTACACACTTATTCTTATCACCTCATGTAGATTGCAAGTTCACATTGTATTCCTCTTCTATTACTGCATAACAAATGACCACAGAGTTACTGCAAACCCACTTACTATCTCACAATTCTGTAGGTCAAAGGTCTGGGCACAGTGTGGCTGGATTCTCTGCTCAGAATCTCACAGGACTAAAGTGAAGCGTCAGCTAGGCTGTGTTCTCATCTGAGGCTCAGGATTCACTTCCAGGTTCAAGTAGTTATTTTCAGAATTCAGTTATTCGCAGTTATATGATTCAAATCCGCACTCCCATGCTGGCTGTTGGTTGATCAAGGATAGTTCTCAGCTCCTAGAAGCTGCCTAGTTCCTTGTCACAAGGCCGTATATATAGGTCCTCTTTACAACATGACAGCCTACCCATTCAAAGCCAGCAGCAGAATCTCTTTTAGCATTCCTCTTTCAGGAAGGATCTAGCAGTTCCTTTTAAGGACCCACTTGATTAGGTCACCCCTACCAGGATAATCTCCCTTTTGATTACCTCAAAGTCAACTGGTTTGACTTATTATATCTGCTAAATTAATTACATCTGCAAAATTCCCCCATTTCAGGTAATGCAACCTAATCAAGGAAGTTAAATTTATCAGATTCACGGTTCTGCCCATGCTTCATGGGAAGGGGTTATTCAGAGTACATGTACAAGGAGATGAGAGTATTGGGGGCCGTCTTAGATTTCTGCCTAAACACCACATGCACGCACACACACACACACACACACACACGCGCACACACACACACACTCATAGCACAGACTCCGAATGTTAAAGTTAAATCTAACATGTTTATAGCATTTAGTGAGCTCTCTCATTTAATTTTCATGTTACAGGCAAATGGAGAACCTTATCACCATTGTACAAATGTTGAATCTGAGGTCACAAAGCAACACCATGGAGATTAAAAAACAGAACCCATTTATTCTCCTGGGTCCAAATTTCTGTTCTCTGTAGAACCACCACACTGTCATAGAGATCATCACATCCTATTCTTAAAAACCATGAACACAAAACCACCTGACAGTTTACAATGAACAAAGAGCATTTGTCAAAGGCACAATGTCATTTCATTGTCATGGCAACCTATTAGTACAGTTTTTATCATTTCTGCTTCAAATGAGGAAATGAGTGAGTGAGCCCCTCAGTACAGCACTTAGCACAGTAAAGAACAAATAATACAGCCTGACCAACATGGTGAAACCCCGTCTCTACTTAAAAAAAAAAAAAAAAAAAATTAGCAGCTCATGGTGGTGGGCGACTGTAATCCTAGCTACTCAGGAGGCTGAGGCAGGAGAATCGCTTGACCCCTGGAAGCGGAGGTTGCAGTGAGCCAAGATCATGCTATTGCACTCCAGCTTGGGTGACAGAGTGAAACTCGGTCTCAAAATAAAATAAAATAAAATAAATGAACAAATAATAAACTCCCTGCTTTTGGTGCTGTTATAAATTAATTTATGGATACCATCATACAAGGTGCTGTGAGGAAAATGCAAAGAAACATGATCCCTGCACTAGAAGGATTTATTTGTTGATAATACCTCAGGATTTGATAAATCCCATGCATTCCCAATATTAATTAGATTTGGTTTAAAGAATGCCAATCAAAAAGGGAGTTCAGCAGGGTAATAAAATCTAAACAGAACTTTGCTTTTGAAAGTCTAGTCTACGAGTCAGGAAACTATATATTCCACTGGCCAAATCTGGTCTCTCACCCGTTTTTATATGGCTCATGAGATAAGAATGGGTTTTATGTTTCTGTGGTTGGAAAAATGTTAAAAGAAAAATATTTGGTGATTCATAAAAATTATATGAAATTCAAATTTCAGTGTCCATAAAAAAATTGTACTGGAACACTGACATGCTCATCCACTTAAATATGACCTCTAGTTGCATTTGCGTTATGACAACAGGGTCAAAGATTTCTAACAAAGACCATATGACCTGCAACGTCTAAAATGTTTGCTCTCTGGCCCTTTGCAAGGAAAGTTTGCCAGCCTTCAGTCTAGCCCATTTACCCTAGAGTAGAGAAGAGGGGAGGGATGGGGGTGCAGAGGCAGAGTGGCAGGAACCCAACTCTAGCTTTCGGGGAGGAGAAGCAACAAAGTCTCCTTGGAGCCCTCAAAGACACAGGGTTTCTGAAGTCCAGGGCCAGGAAGTGGCAGAACCTTAGATGGTTCTGCTGCCTGACTGATTCCAAGCCTTGGTTTCTGCTGCTTTTGGAACCTTTGCAGACAAAGAGAGCTGCCAAGAATGAAGGCTTCCTTGGGCCCGGCACGCTTGCCCTTGCTGGGTTGGACAGGAGACAATGGCTACAGTGACCTCTGGGACTGAGGAGTGGGCACCTCCCCCACTCCCCAGGTGTTTAAAAGCCGTAGTGTGATTGTGTGGTTCTGAAGAAGAAGACAAATGGTGCGGGATGTCACAGTGTGTGTTCTGCAAAAAGTAGAGCCTCGGACAAAAATTTGAGTGCAAGTATTTTATCTGGAGGTGATCCCAGGAAATAGAATGAGGGTTTGGGGGATGGAAGTAAAACAATAAAGGAATAATTACGGAGAATGTTACCTCTGTGGGCGATGGGCACAATCCCCCTAGATATTCGGCAGGATGGTGTAGCACACACCTCAGAATTGTCCCACCAGGGTGGAGACAAGGGGTATTTATCCATCAGCATTCCCTTCTCTTTGGATGGGAGTTTTTCTTGAGGGTAGTGACTCCCTAGTAGCTAGCTCCAGCCAGCCCCTCATGGGCCAAGCAAGCTCCTGGAGCCAGAGAAGCCCTCAGGGAGAGAGCTGCATGTGCCAGAGGCAGGAAGTCTTAGGCATGAATGAGATAGTACTAAAGCTATGGGAGGTTGAGGAGACAAGGGAATATGAGTGGGGCACCAAAAGTGTCTACTGCAGTGGGCTCCCCTTCAACTTTGGAGAGTTAGCAGCATTGGGAGAGAACATTCAAAGTAGACTTACTTTGTTTAAAAAAATGATACTTCCAGCTGCTGGAGTGTGCCCGATGTTCATATATGTGCCTTAACTTTCCTGTTAGATGGCAGACTCCTCAATGTTATGCAAAAAGACACATCCTGAAATTTTCTTAGTGGATTATTTGATAAGGAAAAAATATTAAGAGTTATTTGCTTCCTCTTTTCTTTTTCTCTGGCTATCCTCCGGTATGGACGTTATTCGCAAGAAATAGAAACAACAAAAGTCCCGAATAATCTAAAATAAGGTACTCTTGAATTATCAAAATTAACTATCAAAGTCAGTGAGAACTAACCAGCTCTGCATTATTATTTCCCATCTTAGATATTCTAGCCATTAGGACAGAAAACATGAAAGACACAAATACCGTAATGTGTGCTATATTTTAGTAACAATAAAACCTCTAAAGATATGACTGCATTGTGGGCTTTGTTTAATGATTAACAACAAAAAAAAGGATGGTGCATTTCCAGTTGAAACTGAATCCAGCCAGCTTTCCAGATTTCAAAGGCTTTATAATGGAAGAAACAGCCCATAAGTGGGTCACAAACAATCTTGTCCATTAATCATCCCAAGTCTAGCAGATATGCATGCCGGGTGCCAAGAAAATCATGAGACTCTGTCTCAAAGACAGTGTGCCTTTCTAAATTTTCTTCTTAATGTAAAAGTCTAATATTTGGGTTCAGTGATATTTTGCATTTGTATGAGAAAATGGACCCCACTCTAAGAGCAAGGATAAAGCAACACACCCAACTTTCAAGAGGCAAGAAGGATCCTTGGTAATCAGAGTCTCAGGTTTATACATCCAGCAATGACCTCCCTGTTGATGCTCAAATACTCAAAGCTGCCGTTGGAAATTTAATGGGCATTTCAAACTTAAGTTATTCAAATTAGAATTCCTGGGTTTCTTGCCTGCTCCTTCCCAGCCTCAGGTTAAAACTCTCAGGATTATCTTCGATTAATGGCTTTCTCTTGTCCCTTTGGTATAATCGATAAGTATTATCAGCTCCTCCTCCAGCATATTTCTGAAATGGAATCACTTCTCAACACTACTGAGATAACCACCCTGGTTGTAACCAATGTCATCTCTTGCTTTGACCACTCTAACAGCTTCCTGGTTTCATTTGCATCCACTCTTGAGCTCGTGCAATCCTCTCTGCACGCAGTAGAAGAGTGATCTTCTTAAAGTATAAATCAGACTGATTGTGCAGGTCATCTGCTTAAAATCCCATAATACTTCCCTCTCCACTAAAAATAAAGGCCAAACTCCTTTCCTAAGCCTATAAACCTTCATGTGATTCTGCCCTTTATTCCAGTTATCTATTGTTGCATAACAAACTATCCCAAAACTGAGTGCTTGAAGCAACAACAATTCATTATTTCTCATGGTGCTCTAGGTTGGCTGACCTCAGCTGGCTAGTTCTTCTGCTCCACTTGGTATTGACTGGGGTCGCTTGTATGGCTGTGCTTGGTTGGGAACCCAGCTGGGGCTGAAATGTCCAACATGGTTTTCCTGACACATCTGGTGCCCCAGTTGGGATGTCTGCCTGGGCTGCTCGCTCCCTCTCCACATATCTCTCCACATTTAGTGGTCAAGTTCAAGTTTCTTTACCTGGACGCTGAATCTCAAGAGAGCAACAAAGGAAACTGCCAGAATCAATTCTTAAAGCCTAGGCCATGATATTCCATTGGTCTATGCCATTGGTCAAATTAAGTCATAAGGTCAGCCCAGACTCACAGACTCAAAGGGGAGGGAAGATAGGTCCACCTCTTGATTGGAAGAAGGATATTAATATACAAGAATGGGAGAGATTTTGGGCAGCCATTTTGGAAATAACCTTCCATACCTACCTGCCTCTCCAATCTAGTTTCATATCAATCTACCCCAGTCACACTGTGCATCTTTGTCATTCCAAAAGGTGCTGAGATAGCAAGTACTAGTGTTCCCCACAATATCCTTCCACCCATCATCTTCCAGAATAGAACTGGATCTCAGCTAGGTTCATGGCTTCCCAGAGTAAATACTACATTTCCTAGGCTCCCTTGAAGCCAGGTATGAACATATGACCATATGATTCCATTCTGAGCAATGGAACGTCAGGAGAAGTGTCCAGTGGAAGTGTTGGCGAACCTTCCTTAGAATACAGCAGTGGCCTCTCCATTAACCTCTTCCTCCTGTGCCCTGTGCTCTTCTATGCTGGTTGGACCTACGGGGACATGGAGAATGAATGTCTTGCCACGCCGAAGAAGCCTCAGTCTCTGAGCCCACATGATGGCCAACTAGCCCTGGAACAATGATCCCAGGATGTTTCTTTGAAGGAAATAGACTGCTAACGTGTTTAAGCTACAGTTAGAAGGTGTTTTTCATCTTTCACAGCCACTTAATCCTTACTGCTGGGCATCTGCAGTGGAGGGAACAGCAAGAGCAAAGGGCCAGGGGCTGGAGAGCATCCAGAATGGGAGCAGAGCCAAGGGGCTGAGTGATTGCAGAAGAGGCAAGGGTGGCCAAATCATGTAAAGCCTGGTAGGCCTGGCTTTTCCATCTGGATGAAATGGGAAACAATTACAGAGTTTCGAGGAAGGCATGACAAAGCCTTACCTACACTGTAGAATCACTCTTGATCCCATGTGCAGAACTGGCCATGGCAGCACCATGGCAGAAGCAGAGGCTGATTAGGAGGTACTTATCTAGATGACAGAGAGTAGTGGCATAGACCAGGGAGAGGGCAATGAAGATGGTGAGGAGTGGTCAGATCATGTGTCTAGTTTGAAGGGAGAGATGCCAGGATTTGCTGATAGATTGGATGGGATGTGGGCTATGATGGAATGGGAGGAGTCAGTGTTGGTCTAGAAAGTTTTGGTTTGAGTAACTCCCAGCTACTTGGGAGGATTGCTTAAGCCCAGCAGTTCAAGGTTACAATGAGCTATGACCACGCAACTGCACTCCAGCCTGGGTGACAGAGCAAGACCGTGTCTCTAAAAGAGCCCTTTGCTCTTGCTGCTCCTCCAATAGAAATGCCCAGCAGTAAGGATTAAGTGGCTGTGAAAGATGAAAAACACCTTCTAACTGTAGCTTAAACATGTTAGCATTCTATTTCCTTCGAAGAATCTGGGATCATTGTTCCAGGGCTGGTTGGCCATCCTGTGGGCTCAGAGACTGAGGCTTCTTCAGCCTGGCAAGACACTCATTCTCCATGTCCCCGTAGGTCCATTATAGTTAGCGGTAGCTAACTTTAATGGAGTAGTTTGACAAGGAGCAGGGTTTTTTTTGCAAGGGTGAGGCATTAGGAGTTTGGTTTTGAACTTTGTATTAGCCAGAATTCTGGAGAAACAGAACCAATAGAATGTGGAAAGAGAAAGAGAGAGGTTTATTTTAAGAAACTGGCTCACACAGTTATGGAGGCTGGCAATTTCAAAATCGGCAGGAAAGCAGTAGGCTGGAGACCCAGGGAAGAGTTGACTTTACAGCTTGAGTCTGAAGGCAGCCTGGAGAAGATTCCCCACTTTCTCAGAGGACCTCAATCTTTTCTCTTACAGTTTTCAATTGATTGGATAAGGCCAACCCATACTACGGAGGGTAATCTACTTTATTCAAAGGCTACTGATTTAAATATTAATCATATCTCATACCTTCACAGCAATATCGAACCTAGTGTTTGACCAAACCTCTGAGCACCATAACCTACCCAAGCTGACAGATAAAATTAACCATTAAGGCTGGGCACAGCAGCTCACACCTGTAATCCCAGTGCTCTGGGAGGCTGAGGAAGGAGGATCTCTTGAGCCTAGGAGTTTCGAGACCAGTCTGGGTAACACAGTGAGACCCTGTCTGTAAATTATTTTTAAGGTTGCATTTAACTGGTTGTGGTGGTGTGTGTCTGTAGACCCAGATATTTGTGAGGATTGCCTAAGCCCAGTAGCTCAAGGTTACAATGAGCTATGACCATGTGTCTGCACTCCAGCCTGAGTGTCAGAGCAAGACCCTGTCTCTAAAAAGAAAAAACCCCATTGTGGACATGTTTAGTTATAAACGGCTTTATATAACCCAGTATAGATGTTGAGTAGGCATTTGGCAAACATTTGAGATCATGAACATATGCATTTTGTTTAAAGAAACAAAACTGAATGATACAGTCAACTGAGTGAGTGTAGAGCATATAATCTTCCAGATCCTCCCACTTTTTTTTCTGTATTCTGACTGTCCTGTGACCTGGCCAGCTTCATGTTTAATCCCTGAAGCCTTAAATTCAAGCTGGGGCCTTCAACATTTCCACGCACTGGTAAACTTGTTTGCATTGTTGCCCAAAACTCTAAAAGGTCAAACATGTTGTTAAACACATAGAAACTAGCCCCTGCTCTGAGCCAAATTCCTTAAACTTCCAGATAAACTTCATAACCCAACCCCTTCACTGGAGACATACCTGGGTAAAACATCTCCTGTATCACTGTCCCTCACAAGGAAGCTGCAGCACCCTGTCTATATAAATTCATCTAAGAAACTCGTTGGACAATCAACCTGGTGTTTAGCGCTTCTTTGGAATCCCCACTGGCCCCATCTCAGAACACTCTGAAGCAGTCCCTAGTGGGAACTCTCCTGCCACCACTTTTGAGGCAACTCTAGCTGCAGATTCAGCCAGATGGAACAGTAGGAAGAGACAAGAAGATGTTTGAGGATTAGCATTTCCATCTTAAGAGTTAGCACAAGCCAGGCATGGTGGCTCACAACTGTAATCCTAGCACTTTGGGAAGCCAAGGTGGGAGGATCGCTTGAGCCCAGGAGTTTGAGATCAGTCTGGCCAACATAGGAAGACCCTGTATCTACAAAAATAAAACAAAACAAAAAACTACTAGCCAGGTGTGGTGGCACATGCCTGTACTCCCCGCTACTTGGGAGGCTGAGATGGGAGGATCACTTGAGCCTGTGAGGTGAAGGCTGCAGTGAGCTGTAATTGCACCATTGCACTCCAGCTTGGGTAACAGAGAAAGCCCTGTCTCAAAAAAAAAAAAAAAAAAAAAAAAAAGTAATCACAAGCGAGGAAGAGTCGCCAAGGAAACTGTGAGGAAACCAGTGACTCATGAGAAATGCAAGAGAGTGAACTGTTCTGGAAGCCAATGAGCAAAGGGCCTTGATAAAGAAATAATCAACTGTCAAATTTGGCTAAGTCAAGTACGACCTGAGAATTTATCATTAAATTTGGCATCTTGGAAACCTGAAAAACCTCATGTATCAGTTTAGGTTGAACCCATGGAGAAGCAAAACCAGTAGAAGATACCTGTTAAGAGATTTACTGCATGGAACTGGCTTATGTGATTATGGGGGAATAAGTGGATAAGTCCAAATTCCATAGGCATTAGGAAGGACAGGCTGGGACTCTCAGGCTTCTGTTCACAGGCAGATTGTTTTTTTCTCCAGAGAATCCTCAGCTCTGCTCTTAAGAACTTCAGCTGATTGGATGAGGTCCACCAGTTTATCTAAAATATCTCCCTTGCTTAAAGTCAATTGATAATAGACTTTAATAACAGCTGCAAAATATCTTCACAGCAGCACCTAAATTACTGTTTGAATAAAATTTCCTAACCAAGTTGACACATCAAAGACCATCACACCTCAACAAGACCAACTTGGGTGGGTCCCAGTTGAAGTGGGCTCAAGAGAATGGGAAGAAAACATGGAGATAGTGCTTGTAGACAGTCATTTCAAAGAGCCATGCTATGAAAAGAAGCAGAGAAATGAATCGGTGACTGGAAGGTAATTGGATCATGGTTTAAATGGCTGAGGTAGAATTTAAGAGAAGACCATTAGTAGGGAGGAGCTTGAGGGACTGGAATTGGTGAGATTAGAAAGCCACAGCTATGGATAGTGAAACCACCAAGAGGAGGAAGAGGAGGAGGAACATTACAGAGAGTGATCTTGAGTCGATAGCTAACATATTCAGAGAATGAGGCGTCACTCATTGTTGGGATGGGAGTAACAGTACATGGTTGCATGAGAAAGAGTAGTGGAGTTACAGTCCGATAACATCAGATATGAAGCTGAGAGAGAAGGGGCTGTCTTGGGGGGAAAAATAAGACAGTAGTCTGGGAGAACAACAATGAAGATTAAAGGAGACACACACCCTTCAGACACAGTGGCACTAAAGTTTGGGAGTTTACAGCTCCCTCTTGAAAGGGCTGCACGGAAAGCAGTGTCCCTTCATAGAATATCCTGATCTGAGTTAGAGCAAGCAAGGGAGGGGTATTTGCAGAGAAGAAGTTGCAGATTTCAGGAATTTTGCTGATGACTGTTCATGAGTTCCAGAAGATAAGTGGGGTGGGAGATGACATTCTTATGGGGGGTTTCAGAGCTGTATAAGGAGGAGCTGAGGGCCTGGGCTCATGGAGGTCCCTGACAGGGTAGGGATAAAGGACACAGGAGAATAGTCTGGATAGTTTCCAGATGGTGGTAGTGACACTGTGGATGCTGAGGAGCAGACAGGGGCAGGGAGAGTCTTGGCAGCAGCACAGTGAGTTCTAGGCCCTATTTTCCCTTTTACTAATGGGGATATAAAAGCTGGGAGTAGGGGAGTTGTATCCCAGCACTTAATCTTCCAGGCCTCAGTTTCCTCATGGAAACAGTAATCTAAGAGTTGGGATACAATGGAGACATTGCTCTTTAAAGGAGTCTGGTGTAGACAAAAGTTAGTGTATTTGTTCTCTTTCAGTCTTAAAAAACAAGGGGACATCTTGGACACAAGGAAAAGTGTTTGCTTTCCCCAGACTTAGAAAGCTATAGAAAAAATTCCTGCACTCTATTTATTGCACATGATAATGAGGAAGTGAAAAGCCCTTTACTGCCCTCCTTCCCTCGTGGTCTCTATGCCTCATCTGAGCATATGCACCAAGGCTGAGTGTACAGCAGCACTCGAGCTGAGATGACTGATTCCCTCCTCCAGCCTTCCCCCAGGCCAGCAGTTCCTAAAGTGTGGTCCTTGGACCTGCAGTATCAGAGTCACCTGGGAACCTATTAGAAATGCAAGTTCTCTTGCTGCACTACAGTCCTATGGAATCAGAATCTCTGGGGAAGGAGCCCAACAATGTGCTTCAACAAGCCCTGCAGGCAATTCTGATACTTGTTCAAGGTTAAGAATCACTGCTTTAGACACAACACACATTTCGGTCAGACAGAATAGCCTCCAGTTTTCCTGGTTTTTCATACTCTTTTGTATCCCTGGACTTTGATGCTTGAAAATCCTCCCCTGCAGTGGATCTGCCTCCCACACACTTCTAGACCAGCTTGGTCAACACCTCCCCTGAGAGGCTCTTCCCAGCCAGGCTGAGGGAGACACGCTCTTCTCTGCATGCAGAGAAAAATTCCTACCGTCTTCTACTTGAGTATTTATTATATTGTTTCATAACTGTTTACTTGATCTCACTCCTGAAGACATGGATTTTATCCTCCCACATTTAACATTTGAAATGCCTATTATGTTTTAAGGCACTGGAGAATAAGAACTTTTTTTAAAAAAAGATTGAGATCTTTATTCTAATAAAAAGGACCAGACAACTAATAATGTAAATGAATGTGTTTCATTAGTTCTAACTCTGAATGTGTCCTGATCGATGGCATGCCATGGTTTAACTGGCAGCGTGTTTTGCTTTTGTAATAGTACATAAAATAATGGTGTGGTTTACAATAATGTGGAACCTTAAATTTGATGAAATGCAAGCTGTTAAGAAAGTGATACGTTATAAGGAGAAAAACAAAGCCTGGACGAAGGATGGGTGGAGAGAGGGTATCATTTGAAACAGGATGTCCAAGAAAGGCTTCACTGAGAGGGTCCCATTTGAAGACATACCTGAGTAAGGCAAGTGAGGAGTCCTAGGGATATGGAGGAGAGTAAGGATGTGGGAAGAGCATTCAAGGTAGAAGGAACAATGAGGACAAAGGTCCAAGGGCAAGAAAAATGGTGTGTGTCTTGTTGATCTGTTTATAACAGAGCTTAGAACAGTGTCTGATAAATACCCATAAGTGTTTCTGCAACAGACCTCAGCCTTTGGTAACGTAGGGATACTTTTAGAACATAATGATTACAATGTATTTCCACTTCATGCCCATGCTGGCATTACTGACTCCTGGAAATAACAAAGCAATGTGATAGAGAAGTGTAAATTCAGGAAATACTGTTTTCCGTCTGTGGTGTTGCAGGCTTTATGACAGGTGTTGGGGATACAGATAAATATGGTCCTTGCCCTCAAGGAGTTCTCAACTAGCAGGAAGCACAGAAAAATAACCACAATATAAAGCTATAAAGGTACAGTCACAGGTGTATGAAATGTATTATTGTAGCCACATAAGAAGGAGTAATATCTGTGTTTATTTATACTCCTGTCAAACCCTATTTCAAATTTCATTCTCTTGGAGGGAAGTAATGAGCAGTCTTTTAGCAGTAATTGGGTTGGACTATTTGTCTGTGAGAAGTACATCTACCATATGGTTTCTGATCTTGATATTTTATCAAATCTCCAATTGCCAAGGTACTTTAGATTCCAGGTCACACGTCGGACATTCTTAAGAAATGGGACATAAAACATGGCCTAAAGGTTACATATTCTGCTACTAATGTCATTTTTTAAATAATAATGCATCAAAGCACTTGAATGCTAGGACAAGATGCCCAGCAAATGCAACTTGCTACTCTGTTCCAACTTGTGACACTTACAAACCTGTAACATGGATTTCCGCCCTCATTTTTTTTGTTCTTTTTGAGATGGAGTTTCTCACTGTCGTCCAGGCTGGAGTGCAGTGGCATGATCTCTGCTCACTGCAGCCTCTCCCAGATTCAAGCAATTCTCCTGCCTCAGCCTTCTGAGTAACTGGGATTACAGGCGTCCACCACCATGCCTGGCTAATTTTTTGTATTTTTAGTAGAGACTAGGTTTCACTATGTTGGCCAGGCTGGTCTTGAACTCCTAACCTCCTGATCTGCCTGCCTTGGCCTTCCAAAGTGCTGGGATTACAGGCATGAGCCACCGCACCTGGCCTCCTCCATCATCTTTTAAAAGATGTGGAAGGTGAGCTGATTCCCAGCTGGCTTTAAGTGCAGCTGAGTCAAGTAATCAAAGTCCTGTGGCCCTGATTTCTCTCTCTTAGTACTGATTTTCTCTATGTTACTGGAAACTCTGTTTCCTCATGGTGGAAGCTTAAGTTGTCACCTTCTGGCAGCTCCAGACCTTACATCCTCTTAGCCAAGTCCTGAGAAGAACAAGAATATCTTTCCCACAAGCTCTGAGAAATGCTTTATCCTTCCTCATAAGGTCAGATATTGATCCCTATACCAGTAATCAGTGCAGATTCAACATCGCCAGAATTCTATGCAATGAGAGTTGGGGATAGTATTTCCTTTGAGAGAAATAGAGTATGGGTAAAGGAAGTAGTAGTACATACCTGCGGTGGGGCAAGAGCAAAACAGATGTCTACTAAATCTCCTATCAAAACATGAACTTGATTGGTCATCACACCAGTAATGGAATGGCCCCTGCCTCATAGCTCCTGAATGACTGACATACTCCTGCCTCTTTTGTCCTGTCCTCACTTTTCTCATACACCCAGCTTCATATGCTATGGACTGAATTGTGTCCCCTCAAAATTAATATGTTGAAACCCTAATCCCCAAAGTGATGAGTACTTGAAGATTGGGTTTTGGGGAGATAATTAGGTTTAGATGATGTCACAAGGGTGGGGCCATGTGAGGACATATACAGAAGGCAACATGTGGCTTATTCAGCAATCCAGGAAGAGAACCCTCAGCAGAACCTGACCATGCTGGTACCCTGAGCTTGGACTTCCAGCCTCCAGAACAGAACGATGAGAAAGAAATCTCTGTTGTTTAAGCCACCCAGTCTATGACATTTTGTTATGGCAACCCAAGCAGACTAGTACACCATAGAAAGGCAAAATTATTTGGACATTCTGGTTTACGCACGCTTCTGGAAATTTGCAAGGGAACAGTGAAACTCAATTCTACTTTTTGTTCTAGTTGAAGTAATTGTTGAGACCTGCACTGTCTAATACAGAAGCCTCCAGACACTTGTGGCACTTGAGCATTTGAAATATAGCTATTCCATATTAGAAACACCAGACTTCAAAGACTTAATAAAAAATGTAAAATAGCTCATGTAAACTAAAAGTCCTAAGCCCTCCTCCACCAACTGAATGGACACCCTCTTGGCTAAGACCGACTGCAGAGAAACCTTAAAAACTAAGTTCCCGGCCACGTTGGGACAAGAGGTCAGATACGCCTTCTTATTTCCCTTCCCTTTTGTGGTTTAGGCACAATAACTGACCATAATTAATGTTAAAATAGAGGTCATAAGACTGACAGAATGGACTCTTTGTGGTAAGAAAACACCAAATTACAAACAGGACTTCCCATGCCAGGCAAGAGTTATCATGCACCACCCCCCGCCCCCCCAACACACTTAAAGAATAAACCAGGTTCTAATTGCCAAGGTTTTTTCCTTTTCTCCTTGCAGCTAAACAAGCACTGGCCTCAAGAGAAGCAATATTAAAACAATTTGCAGCTCACCACCAGCCGCTGACTAACGGCGCCCCCCTGTTCCAACAGCCATAACTACAGCTTTGATTGGACAAGAGGCTGATTTCAGTTAACTTCCTCCTGATGAGAAAACCACAGCCATGGACTGATTCTGGCCGGTTTACAGAGGCTGTGTACTTGGTTGCCTTTGTGTCCTAAAAAGGAGGTGTAGGGCCTAATTGTAATACATGTAAATGTTAATTCTCCACCCCAAAGCACACATGGTTATATGTTACCTGCATGTTTGTTCAGTACACATGCCTCAGGACCACCTTCATGAGTATTTGAAGCTCTTCGTATAACCTGTTGACTATGTATGTTTGGCCAACCTGTTCAACTAAAATTTCTGTCTAATTCCTCTCTCCCTCAAAGTGCCTATTTCTGGTCTTTGCTGGAAGCTACACTTCCCAGCTGGTAGGATGGCCACTTGGCAGGCTGTAAACTTTTACAAGAAATAAAGTCTCCTTTTCGAAATGTATAGATCTTGTGATTTTTCAGTTAACCCTCACTGCATATTTGTTCTTGATTAGATGTTGAGAAAAATATTTTGGATATATTTGGTTAATTAAAATACATTATTAAAATTAATTTTACCTGTTTCTTTTTTTACTTTTTAAAATGTACCTACAGGATATTTTAAATTATGTTAAATTATGTGTGTGTTTCGCATTGCATTTCTAAGGGACAGTGTTGCCATTGAGATTCCTGAGATGCTCTGAGTCAACCATTCATTTCACACTCTGGTTCTCAAGGTGTCGTCCCCTCTGACTTGAAGCATCAGTACTACTTAGGAACTTGTTAGATACACAAATACACCACCACACCTCAAACCTACAGAATCAGCATCTCTGGGTGGGATCAGAGCTGAGCACACCCTTCATACTAGTGCTTCTGAAACTGATGGACCTGGAATGGGATTACTGGACTTGGCAAAATTAACCTTTGCAAGAGGGTCAGGTTTACTGAATTGCAAAGCAATTTAAAATATAGGATTTTGTGCCAAAAATGTTCAAAACTAGACAAGAATATTGAAGCAAAGCGAGCTGTTGTGCTCTGGAAGAGGGCTGCTTGGCTTGGCGAGGGTTTTGGGTCGTAGGGTGAGATAAATAAGTAATCAAGCCCTTCTACCATTTAGTTGAAAATGAGAGATTGGGGGATTTGACCTCATAAACTAATATTTATTGAATTTGATTTTAAACATTTGATTCTAAATCCTCACAAACACCCTTTGTGGTGGGCACTATTATCAACTTCATTTTGTGGGTAAGGAAACCGAGGCACAGCGAAGCTGATTAGCCATACTTGGCTAATTAAGTATGGTTCAAGGCCATACTTGCTGGAGTCAGAATGACTCAGGCTACAGAATGTCAGGCTACAGAATGAATCAGGCTACAGAGAGCAGTGGGCTTAACACTGCACATATTGTCTTGCCCAGGCTAGACAGATTAGCTAATCTAACTAATCTGTAAAGTGGGTATTTCTACACTAGTCATTCCTGGCTGCCATTAAAATCACCTGGAGACACCCAAAACACACACTCCTGCCTAGGCTCCAGCAAACCAGAGATTCTGATTCCATTGGTCTGAATGCACTCAGGAGTGCATAAGAGCCCCCCAGGACCTCCAAAACAGCTCCCACTTGACAGGTGATGAAGAGGAGGCTGGGAGGAACAGGGTTGAACAGGTTGTCAATGGCTAAACTCAGGTTCTGTAAATTGGGCAAGGGCTTCTCCAACCAGACTGTACACAGTCCTTGGATATCTCTCAGATGCACGTTCCGATGCAGTAGGGCTGGATGAGGCCTGCAATCCTGCAGTCTCCAAGGGACAGTGATGCTACTGGTCTCAGAACCACACTTTGGATTTTGGACGGCACTTTGTCAGATGTCCCGAACCATGTGGTGTTTCCTGGCCAGCTAGAGAGCTGGGGCTTTCCTGACAGACTGGTCTGGGAGAACGTATTCTGCTGAGGTGCACCCAGATTTGGGATTCTTTAAGATCCCAGGTTTGAGATCCGTTCAGTGATCTCCAAGACCCAGCTAAGGAGGTAGGCCTTGGAGCGGAGTTGGAGTTCCACTTCTTGAGATGGAGGAAGATTCTAGGAAGCTGAAAGGAAAAAACTCATGGTTACTGCCCAGAGGCAGGAATCGCCGCAACACCACCCTTCTCCAGTTCGTCTGCTCTCCTCTCACCCAAGCTCAGCCTCTGGCTTCCCACTCTTCTCATTCCCTCTGACTCCAGCCTGAGCCATGGGGTGGGGTGTCAGGACAGGGACAAGCAGCCTCTCCCTCCCAGGGGATGCACGACTTTCTTCGTCTTGCTGGAGGGTCAGACAGAAGGAATTCAAGCATTTTGATGCGCATTTCTCCCTCACCCTTCTACAACCCTCCCTCACCACTGCCCCGACTTTCAATACCAGTTCTGCCTCCTTCCTCCAAACTGGTTGGCGTGGCACGGGGTTGGCCCTTGGCTTCGCAGTGCCCGGAGGTTCGGAGCGAGCACTGGACCAGAGCCCAAGTTCCCAAGTTCCCATTCCACGGGGAGATGCGGACTTTAGGTGGACCCGGAATGGAAGGAGGGTTTTTGCTGCCCGCATGCCCCCAGGGCTCTTTCCGGGAAATAGAAGGGCGAGTCCTTTGCTTCCGCAGCGTCCGGTGGGAAAAGATGCCACGTGGCGCGGTGCGGGCGGACTCAGAGGCCCCAGGCGCCCCCGGGAACTGCCACTTACTCAGGGCCCGCGGTCCCTGGCGAAAACGGGCGTGGCGCCAGTGCTCAGACCGTGAAGTGGAAAAACGGATCATAACCTCGCGTTAAGGGGAAATTCAGGTTTTTTTCTCTGAGAAATGTATCCTTCCCTAACCAAAATCCAGCACCTAGGGCCACCCATCCCTCGGTCCCTGAGCCCACCCTCTCCCTGCAGGCACAGCTATCCCAGGTTCCGGCCCATCAAGTTGGGAAATGAGACGATCCATCAGTGCCAGGCTCCCGGGAGCTGCAGCTGGCTCCAAGTGCGTGGCCGGAGGCGTCCCCCATCTGCACGAGTCCCCAGAGTCACCCGGGAATAACTGCGCCGCCGCCGCCTCCGCCGCCTGGGCTCCCGACCTCCGCGCGACCCGCGTTAGCTCGCGTTGCCTGCTGTGGCTTTGCTGCTCTGGGCTACAAGGCCGGGCCGGCTTGGGTTGAGACTCCCGAGGCTGCAGGCGAGGCGGTGGGTACAAACTTCCGTAGATCCTGCTGTTTCTCTGAAGAAGAAGAAAAACATTGGCCCCGGAGAATTAGATAATCCTGGGGAAGAAATAGATTTGGGCCTGGGGCCTGCGGGGGTAGGTGCCCACGCGGGGTTGCTAGGCCAGGGGACACCTCTGGTGGACAGCAGAGGCCTGGGGGATCTCACAAGCAGGGGCAAGGCTGGGGCACCCCCAAATCTGCTTTTAAGTTGAAACAAACCTAATGGTCACCATGGAGAAAAAAATAACCGAATGGGATATTTTCACACCCTTATTTTGAGGGACTGTTGAAAAAATCCCCAGGGCTTTTATCAGGTGTGGGGCCTCCCAGAGTTCGTATATGGCCCTCACTGGACCAGGGGAGAGAGGCCGGGGACAGGCCACCCTTGAGCGCAGCCAGACACGGGATCTTACATCCCGCCTGCGGCGTCGGGCAGCGCACCTGGCGGGCTGGACCGGGACAGGGGGCGGTGCGCACCGGGGCTCCCAAGCAGCCTTAGCGGTGGAGACCTTCCGAGGGGAGGCGAGCCTGCGGTTTGTCTCCCGTTAAGGTGGAAGACTGGATTTTTCCTCCAGTTCCGATCTAGGGTGAAGTCCCTTCTCCCGCGCCCTCATGCCCAGATTGGGGAATGAGGGGACAGCAGAAAAAAAGCCCTGACATAGCCCAGAGCCTCCAGCAGCTTTGGGCGCCCTGAGGCGTTGGAGGTAGGAGGAGGTGTGAATTTCATTCCCGCCTCTCTGGGCATGGAGCTTAGCTTAGCGAATAGGGACCCTACAGAGGGAACACCAATGAATGAGTCCACCTTCTCTCCTGGTCCTAGGGCCCGAACCCACTTGTCTCCAGGGCTGGCGCCAGCCCCGCGCACAAACACCGCTTCCTCTGGGTAACCGCCTGGACTGCCTGCGCGCCCTCGGAGCCCGCCTGGTTGGCAGTCTCTGCTTCGATCTCCTCTAAGCAGAATCTATTTTCTGTTTGGAAAATCTCTTACAGGTCCTGGGGTTGTCCCAGGACCAAACTGCAGCGAGGCCGCGCGCCCCTGGCCCTGGAACGCAGCATCCTCCCCATTTTACCTGGAGGCTAGATCGTTGGGGCTCTTCGGGGGAATTTCCCTGGGCACGGATACTGTGCTGGCGGTTTAGAAAAGAAAAAGAAAAAGAAGCGAAGCCTCTGTAACCTGGTCTCCTCCCTCTCCTCGGTTTAATACCCTGCCTCCCCTACTAGTCTCCAGGCTTTTCTCTGGACAGGGGAGGGACCCGAGAAGCCCGCGGCCAGTGATCGCCAGGGTCTGTCTCGTCGCCCATCCTCCCCGCCCCAGAGCAAGGTCGGCAGAGGCTTCCCGGGGCATAAGAACTTCAAAGAAAGTCTCAGAGGAGCCACGCTACCAGGAACTTTCGTCGCCCTTTAAAATTGTCAGATAGACAAGTAAAAACAGTAACTAACTAAGGGAACAATGGACTCTTGTGACATGTGTAACTCTTCCAGGTACCCCAACACTAAAGACCCCGTGGTTCCTGTCGCCATGGCCTGAACGTACTCAACTCCAGCCCCGGGGCTGACCTCTCTCCCTGAGCTTTGGAGCGGGTTTGGACCTAGCCGTTGCAAGTAGGCATGACTTTTATCACCCATCGCTATACCCAGAGCAGCTGCTCGAATGTGCCAAGGAGCCCAACTCGGGTGCAAAGCGCCGACGTCTTTCCCAGGTTGAGGACATCGCGAGCCAGAGGTGCAGGCAGCGAGGCGCCCAACAGTAGAATGCATCTTCCTTCCCGCGGGCAGAAGCCGTCAAGTCTGGAGTCCGCAGCGGGCGCGCGGGCCAGCCCAGGGATACTGAGCCATGAGCAACCAGGCCCACCTACCGCCGCGCCATCCAAAGGTAACACCACAGACCACGGGCCATGTGTCCTGAGCAGCGCACACTTCCTGCACGTTCAGATATTACATGTTAATAATGAAATTCCGAGCACCCCACCCCCCATCAGCCAAAGGATATTGCTCAGATTACTTCCCTACTCAGATCACTCAGACTTGGGGCATGTAGTTCTGGAGGTATCCTTTAGGAAAGCTATGTCGAAGACCAGAGAATTGAAGCCACTCCTTCCACATGTTGTCGCTACTAGAGTAATAAAGTCATAACTAACATATCGCTTCTTATACTCCCATCCCATTTGCCTTTCCAATACACTCTCCCTTTCCCACTACCTTGTTACTAAAACATCTTGCTATGCTTTTACAACGAGAGAGAGAGAAAAAACAAAGTCCTAAACTTACAACATCAGAGCACCCCAGGGAATTCCAGGACTCCAGCTACAATGCAAGCAAAGCTTCAATAGGAGACAGTGGGCTCTGGGCTCCACTCTCACCCTCCTTCCCAAAGGCCATTAATATAAATTTTCCTTAGTTCCAAACACATCTTCAAGTTAATATGCAGATAACTTCAGATAGACAATTAAAAGAGTAATTTGCCGGTCACAGTGGCTTACACCTGTAATCCCAGCACTTTGGGAGGCCGAGGCAGGCGGATCACGAGGTCAGGAGTTCGAGACCAGCCTGGCCAAAATAGTGAAACCCTGTCTCTACTAAAAATACAAAAAATTAGCCGGGCATGGTGGCAAATGCCTGTAGTTCCAGCTACTCAGGAGGCTGAGGCAGGAGAATAGCTTGAATCCAGGAGGCAGATGTTGCAGTGAGCGAAGATTGCACCGCTGCACTCTAGCCTGGGCGACAGAGTGAGACTCTCAAAAAAAAACAAAACAAAACAAAACAAAAAAAAAACAGAGAGAGAGAGAGAGTAGTAACCAAGGGAACAATGGACTCCTGTGCCATCTCAGAGATTTTGAGGGTACTGCATTATCACAGAATTCAGGTAGCAAAATATGTTAAATGAGACACAGCTAGTCTAACCTTAGGCCTATTGTGACAGATGTCATTTCTTGGAGAACAGACTCATTAAAGATTTTTTAAAATCCTCAAATGAGTTTTAATTCAACCTTACAGAAAGGTGCCCTGCCCAGAAGTTAACAAGGTTTTCCTCCCTCCCGAGATAGCAGAGTGAGTTGTGTATCACTGACCAAAAATGTAAGACTGACCAGAACAGTTAACTAATCACGGATTCAAAAGACAAAAATGATTTATTTGCTACTGAAATTTTGAGGAATGATTACCTGGCCCCTCACCATTTACTTATTTAGGGTTTGCTATAAGGATGCAGTTCTCTATATTGCCCCATGCTGAAGGCAATTCTTCTAAATGAACTCATAAATGGTATTTTTTTCAGGACTTAGTGTGAACATAGCCAATAAAAAGGCCGTTATTCTGGTGGTTTGTTTCCTCCACTGGTTACCGTTATTGCAGAAATAACCATTGTTTCATTAGAGTAGATGCAGGAGACACCAAAGAAGCACTAGGATGAGGAAAATTACACCAAGGGCATGCAGACTGAGTGCATTGGAGCCTAAACTCAATTTTCTGATTCTTTCCAAATATTCTAGGGCTTAGCAATGTATGTGCGAAATATTCTTGTGCATACATTGCTCATGCGCACACTTATTTTTGTACTCTTTGCTCTGGATCTAAACCCTTGTGGGATAGAAACTGAAAAATAATTCTTGTGCATACATTTATTTTTCAGTTTCTGTCCCACAAGAGTTTAGATCCTAGAAAGGGTTGCGAAGGTCTTTGAAGGCAATGACTAAATGAATTAATTGTTCTATGATAAGCTGAACACAAGAAAAGTTTTGGTGAGTAGAAAGTCTGGCTTAACAGCTGCATGCATCTTGTTTGTTTAAATTATTTCTGCTTCTGTTATTCGGGTGTGCGTCCGTTGTCTGTGTGTGGGTTGCAGAGGGATGGCTTGGTGGCTGTGGGAACAACAGAGCAAGGAGTACATTTTTACACTTTACTGTAAAGTGAACTGAAACCTCAATAAACCAAATTTCAGCTGCAACAAAGCCCAGCCTTTTCCTTTTGAAGCTATAAATACGCTTTTCTTATTAGTATTGTTCACTAATTTTCATAGTTTTGTTTCTTGATTCTACAAATACAAGTCAATTGCTTGCACAACCAAGTATGAAAAGATGCCCCTAACAACTTAAAAAGTTTAATTTTATTTAGAATAAATTTTGCATAGGCCATTCTTTTGCATATGCCATATGTGGGTAAATTATCAAATACGGAAATGAAATAGGGGTTCTATAGTACATAAGGCATTGTTGATTTACGGCCTAATTTGCTTTTTATTGCAAATGGATAAATATGGATGGATGAAGAGTTACATCTTTGCATTGATTCCCTATTCAATAGATATTTCTTCCATCCGTATCCTTCCTTCCACCCTACATCAGTTTGTCAACTTCTTTCAAGACTCACCTTCTCCAAGAGACCTTTTTTCATCAATTTCAACCACTCTCCCACCTGGGATGCCTGTCTTACTTTTTTTTCCCCCTGAACATTTATGCAGACACTGTGCTAGGCTAACTGGAATCTTTATGTAAATTCTTCTCATCCAAATTGAAAGTTCTATGCAAGGGCCTCTTCTTGCCCTTTTATAAAACAGCAACCACTCAATGGCATGAGATTCATAAAGGCTAATTCAGTAAGTATCCATATGAATTGAAAAACAGCCTTTGAAGGACCTAGAAGATCTAGAGGAGATCCCAAATCCAGTGTGTTTAGGTCACACTGCACCCTAACAGTTTCTACTGACCACCAGCAGCAATAATAAAAATTGACACAGTTACCACCCACACAGGTGTACATATTTATGTCAATTTCTCCTACCATCTTTTAGACTTGAGAAATGAAAAGTAGAGCAAATTCTGGGGAACATTGTTAATATATTAAAATGCAATTTAATGGCAAATTTTGCTCCTTGATCACTTCTTTGCTTATTTTAGAGAACCAAAGAGTTTTTTTCCAGAATGATTAGAAAGATATTTAATTAATGTAGGTGAAAGTTGTAGGTATAATGACCTAACTCCTATTGCAATGTATCACAGTGGATAAGATGATAAATTAATGGGCATTTGTTAGCCATGTTTAAGATTAAATATTAAAAAAGTCATTAAACTGATTGTGCTTTGAAAATAATCCCCCCAGAAAAAAAGAGTTAAAATTGCTTTCTTTCTTCTTTCAACCCATTTGAGTACTCTAGGGTACACTCTCCAGTGTCAACAAAGAGATCATTTATATCAGGTATAATTTTCAAAGGAACAACCATCTCATTTGTAAATCAACTACTACATTTTAAGATCAATGACCAATGCTACTACTCACCTAATCTTTTATTATTAAGGCAGATAATCATGAATTAATTCAGTTGATCTTTTAACAACTTATATAGTGAAGATATCTGCAATAACATACTGCAAGAGAAATTGTCAAAATCTTTTATAGGTGTCTCTCCTACTTGTGTAATGATAAATATCTTTTGGTTTTCAAAGCATCAAGCATACTGGAAGTAGTAAGTATTCGGTTAATGTTTATGGATCTATTTGTACTTTGTTTATTTATACTCATTGGCCCATTTGGTTTAACTAGCCATCCCCTGAGTTATTTTCCCAATTTTTCAGATGAGAACAAATAAAATCTTCAGAAGGTCACAAAAATAATAAGTAGTGAATCCTGGACTGAAATCTACTCATTTCTGTCCTCATAAAATACTGGAGAGAGAGAGAGAGAGAGAGAATAAATACTTTATTACATGTCTCATTGTTTTCCAGTTTTACAGTACTACAGGAAAATAAGTGTTTAATAATAATTGCTAACATGAAAAAATGTAACACATACAAATGTTATCTCTTCCACTTTCAACTGATGAGAACTGACGTTTTATCAATCTTCTGTATAAAATCATTTCTGTTAAGTTCTGTAAAATTTGCATCAATTCTTCTATATATAATCATCTTTGTAAAGTTCTTGAGAAATGTTTGGATGAAATACTGAACTACAAACATAAAAGTCAAGATGTCAAAATATAATGTCAATTTTAATATTACTTTATACTTTGAATTGCTAGTGATCTAATGATTGATATAGGAATATGTTTGAAAGCCAAAAACATTATATAGATACTTTGTGGCAGATATGTCAGAATGTGATTATACTTAAAACAGCATTCTATAAATTTGAAGAATGTGAATTAATGATAGAGATTTCAGATTTCAGATTATTATTTGATATTGAATATAGATTTTTATGGAAGTCAAAATATGGAGTAAAAATATTATATAAGGAGAAATGAAGATAATCTCACAGAGTTAAAGCATGTGATTTTTGTATTTTAATTCTAACTGACCATGTGACATTTGGGAAGGTCATTTAATTTATTTGAGCCTCAGTTTTGGGGTATGTAAAACCACAGTAACTCATATCTTTCCTTGCCTACCCTCTAAGATTGGGGAGAATCAAATTAGATAATGCAGGTGAAATACTTTGCAATTTTCCCTTTAATATGACATTGTTTTATAACATTATATTACTGATGCAACATTTATTTGCATTATGAAATATCTTCTAAGGAATAAAATATTTGGACATCACTACAATTGATGAGGACTGCATGTGTATTTTTGAAAGCTGTATTCTGATTTACAGAGCAAAAATAAAAAATAAGCAAGCTACCAAATATGTAAATACAGGAATTAGCCCAGTAGTATTTGTTCTTCTGTTCCACTACAGGCTTTAGAGTAATATCAGTGTGTGTTTTTCTTACATAACTATGTGACATTACTTAGGGCATAATTCTAAAATTTCTGTCCTAGGAGACACTAGATAACTCTCAAAAACTTCTGATTTGCTTGCATCCCTTTTTGGCAGAGTGGTCACAGTATAATGCGGGAGGGTAGGTGACCCCAGAGTTCAGAGTCCTCATGCACCCGGGAGCAAAATTCACAGGAAAATAAGCCCACATGGAGCTACTGCATTGTCTGATGGCCTCGTTCGAGGAGGCGTCAATTTAACTTTAAACCCATGAGCTCATTGAGAGCAGGGGAGAGAAGGGGATGTCTCCAAATTCAGGAAACTGTTGCCATAGCATTTTCCCTTCTCTATTCCTGCATAGCCCTCCTCCCCCGAATCAGCAACAATTTTTGCTCCACCGTTTTCTTTCGGGAACCAGATGCGTTTTCAGAAGACAGTACTCCAGTGATAAGGTATCTACACCACTTAATAACTGTACCTGGTAAGGAGATTTAATAAGGCTGAGGGTGGTATTAAGTTTCTCAGAACAGACTCATCTTTGCGGATGCAGTTGCAGAACAGGAAACAGACCCAGGGAGAAGTTTAGTCCCCCCAGATCTCATTGGCCCTCCGCACAAGCCAAGCCACAGCCACTCCTGCCACACAATCGGATTGCTTTCAGCACTCGCAGCCGTGGACCGCCGTGCGGTCCTTTCCTCCGCAGTGAGCCGATTTGCTCTGCCAGCAGCTGTCGGTGCCGCGCTCGACACCGAGTCCTAGCTAGGCGCTCACAGAATACGCGCTCCCTCCCTCCCCCTTCTCTGTCCCCCGCCTCTCGCTCACCCCGGCCCACTCCAGCGGCGACTTTGAGGGATTCCCTCTCTGGCGGCCTCTGCAGCAGCACAGCCGGCCTCATTCGGGGCACTGCGAGTATGGATCTCCAAGGAAGAGGGGTCCCCAGCATCGACAGACTTCGAGTTCTCCTGATGTTGTTCCGTGAGTAGCGATTTGGCGACTGGGAGAGAGGACGGGCACTCTTTGCAGAGAACAGAGCCGGCAAAGTAAAGTCAATTAGCTTGAGATAAAAAATATGGCCCTTAATGTTTTGCGGTGTTTTTTCTTTTTTTCTTTTAGGGGAGGAGGGAGGGCCTTCCTCGCCGGTGGCAGGGAATTCCCCTGAGAGCCATACACCTCTGTGGCATATTCCAGACAGAGCCTAGACAGGCCAGCTTCGTGAGGTCAGAGCATTGGCAAGAAATATTTACTTTAAAATCCCAAGATGTAGAAAACAGCCAGCTATATTACAAACAAAGTCAGGATTTTTAATTTTTTTAACTGTATTTTCATTATAAATTAACAGCGAAGGAATGAGGCTTGTTAGACCCGGGTTAGAGAAACGGCTCGTAGAGCGCACAGCTGCTGGCAGAGAACTTTGTCACTCCAAAGCCTGCAGAGCACTGTCTCCCCACCCTAGCGCCCGAGACGCGTGGGCTGAGCCCTGAACTGATGGAATTGTTTTGTTTGTTCCGCAGATACAATGGCTCAAATCATGGCAGAACAAGAAGTGGAAAATCTCTCAGGCCTTTCCACTAACCCTGAAAAAGATATATTTGTGGTGCGGGAAAATGGGACGACGTGTCTCATGGCAGAGTTTGCAGCCAAATTTATTGTACCTTATGATGTGTGGGCCAGCAACTACGTAGATGTAAGGAATCTTTCCCCCCCCTCAGCTTGCTCCTAGGGCTCCAGGGCGAAGGGCACCCTTCCTCAAGGCTCTTCGAAGACCTGGGTTGCCCGCCTTCTTTCCCACACCCCGGCAGGCTGCTCCCGAATGCTGCATGGGGATTCCAGCTTGTAATGCCTTCTGTTCCCCTGCCTGCTTTGAAAGTAAACCCCCTTCTCTCCGCTTCCCTATCGGGGCTGCACGTAGAGCATCTAACCGCATGTTCCCGGAACCTGGGATGCGCGCGCGCAAAGGAGCGCCCAAGCGTGCAACCCAGAGTTTGGACGCGCCGCCCTTTACAGCCCCCGCCCCGGGGCCGGGCGAGCTGAGGGGGCGCGGGGCGTCTGTGTTCCCAGCTGATCACAGAACAGGCCGATATCGCATTGACCCGGGGAGCTGAGGTGAAGGGCCGCTGTGGCCACAGCCAGTCGGAGCTGCAAGTGTTCTGGGTGGATCGCGCATATGCACTCAAAATGCTCTTTGTAAAGGTAACTCCGAGCCCAGCGGGCAGAGGGGCCGCAGGCTCCGCGTGGGTGTGGGAAGTGGCGGCCCCTAGGTTTAAGAACCCAGACGCTGCGGGGACGATTGAAGCGCACCTCCCCGGCTCAACAGGAAAGCCACAACATGTCCAAGGGACCTGAGGCGACTTGGAGGCTGAGCAAAGTGCAGTTTGTCTACGACTCCTCGGAGAAAACCCACTTCAAAGACGCAGTCAGTGGTGAGTGGAGGCTGGCATGGCTGGGGAGGGAGCCTGGGAACTCGCAGAACAGGCTTGGAGAGAGAATTCCTCAAGGTTTTGGAAACCGTCCCACGCTTTGAGGTCCCAGGCCAAGTCTTCCCTCGGCTTGCTCTTTAGGGCGGAAGAGGCGGGAGCGCCCATGAGTCTTCTGGGTCTCAGGCCTTGTAGATCCGCCAGGAACCGCAGGCGTGGGGACCCAAACGTCACCCGTGGCCTGATCCTAGATAAGAAGTCCCTTGAAGGCCTGTCGTTCCCTGGTGCTTCAAAACGACCTCTTATGATTTGGCCTTTGAAGGACCACGGAGAAGGGCAAAGCTGCATTTTAATTTTCTTCCGCATCCTGGTTTTGTTTCTTATGCGCTAAAACTGCAAGGGGGCAGTGCGACTTTCCTTTTCAGTCAGGATGTGATGGCCTTCAGTGTCTTTTTGCGCATGGCAGCATGGCTCGCACGGGATATTCAGTCATCGACTGCAGCTACCTGACAGTGGATTCTGCACCATGTATAATTTACTAGCGTTTCTGGCCCATCCCTCCGACAACTCAGCCAGATCCTCCTCGGCAAAACGAGCGTTCATCCCCCAAATAACAATATTCCTATCTGCAGACACCGTCAAAGACCACATTTAAATTTATTTTATTCTTTATAAGTTGTCTATTTCACTCATAATGAGGCCCTTCATCACCCAGGCACCTGAGTTGGGAAAGGATTTTTATTGAATACATAAAAATACATGTGTCATCTTTCCCTTTTCACCCCTTTTTGTTATCACAGTAAAAGGAGGATTTTTTCTTTTTCATCAAAGTTTAGATGCAAGATGTCCCCCAGTTAAATTAGACCAAAAAGGAAAAAGGAAAAATCAAACTTAGGTCAGAAAAAGAGCAATGGGAGGCAGACCTTCAGAGGGGATGTATGTGTGTAAGGACAAGCATCCAGAGGACCAGCAATCTGTCCGGCTTTGTTGAGGAAGATGTTTTATTCTTTGCCAGGCCCGTGTGAAATGTGGAAAACCAAGTCACTGTTCCTTCTGTGTCTTTGGAATCTCCATTATTAGGGATTTTTTTTTTCTTTTTTGAAGTGCGGTCTCACTCTGTCCACCAGGGTGGAGGGCAGTGGCACCACCATAGATCACCACAGCCTGGAGTAAGCTACTGGGCTCAAGAGATTCTCCCACCCCAGTTTCCCCAGTAGCTGGGACTACAGGCATGTGTCACCATGCCAGACTAATTTTGTAAATGTATGTGTGTGTGTGTGTATTTGTAGAGACAGAGTCTCACTATGTTGCTCAGGCTGGTCTAGAAATCTTGGGCTCAAACGATCCTCCCACCTTGACCTCTGAAAGTTTTGGGATTACAGGCAGGATCCACCATGCCCAGCCTAGGTTTTATACAGTAACAAGGGTTGGGTTTTTAAGTATCATTCTCCTCTTCAAAAAAGGAGTTCCAAATTAATATTGAAAGAGCCCTGGCTCTCAAGATAATGGGTGTGTTTGTCCTTCATCACCACTTGATGCCATTTGTAGAGCCCTAGCCCTGGCAAGGGAACAGAGAGGACAGGAGGGGTGTGGTGTCTGGAACTGAGAGGCAATAGCCAGCTCTCTGGCACATTAGGTTAGGAACAATGAGGGTTCTAACTATTGCTCTGGGCTCTTGCTGTAGCTGGGAAGCACACAGCCAACTCGCACCACCTCTCTGCCTTGGTCACCCCCGCTGGGAAGTCCTATGAGTGTCAAGCTCAACAAACCATTTCACTGGCCTCTAGTGATCCGCAGAAGACGGTCACCATGATCCTGTCTGCGGTCCACATCCAACCTTTTGACATTATCTCAGATTTTGTCTTCAGTGAAGGTAAGTTGTTGGGGGATGGAGGGGAAGAAGACCTAGTTTATTTCAGGAAGGATGAGAGAGGGACCTACCAGGGCCCCAGGATGTTACCACTTGGATTTCCTCTAGGTTGAAATGACACTGCCTGCCTCTTTAATAATTTTCAAAGACTAAAAAAGCAGTAAGCTGAATGTATGAACTTATCTCAGTAGTTCTTTCTTTCTCCCTCCCAGCCTCCTCCCCGTTTACCTTCACTTTAGTCCTTTCTTCTCAGTCTCCCTTTGTTTCCTCCTTCTTCTTTTCTTTACCTTCTTCCCTCCCTTCTTATATTTCATCTTTCCCTCTCTCCCCATCTTCTTTCCTTTGCCAAAAGATGAACCTTCATAGGGAGAAAGATTTAAAAAGTCACTTTGGAAAAAACTGTAATTTTGATGCAAACTTCCCAAGGAGAAAGCAGCTAAAGTATTTAAGACGTTAGTTAATCTAGAGAGCTACAGATGGGGGAAAGGGCCTTTGCCTTTCTGGGCCCGTTTCTTCTTGTTCTCTCGGATACTTCTAGTTGAAGATTCTGCTGCTGTGAGTCCGAGTTTCTGTGCATCCAGAAGGCAGAGGGGGTGGGTGCGTATGCACAGATCATGGACTCATCAAGTCTTTCCACCAAGCATCTTCGTGAGGAGGATATCCTTAAGCTCCAGGGAGGGAAGGGTACCTGAAGGCTGAGCCGTTTAAGGCCAGCTGCTTCTGCTGAGTGTGGAGCAAGGCTGTCTCTCAGTCTGTTTAGCCTCTGAAAGGGGACCCAGCTGTGCTGTGGCAGGTTCAGGTCAAACACATTCTTTTCATCTCAGCACCCCTGCAGAGGTAGGGCACAAGGGGAGTCAAAACCTCTGCAATTTGTTCAAGTCAAGCAACAATTCACGTTGGGCAATTGTGGGATAAATGAATTCATATCATTTATTCTCTCTCCCTCACAAAGGAGGTTATTAAATTTTATATTCTGTTTATTCTACATGGAAAAAAAATCAGAAAAAATTTTGATTGCTTTGTTTATGCCTTTCTTTGGGTTGGAGACCCCCAGGTGAATACAACAATGCCAATGTTCAGGATATTAGAGAATCTCCACCTTTGTCATCTATGATCATTTTCCAAGGCATCTAGCTTTCATAAAATGCAGCTTCCACTCAACCTATTCCAGAATAGAATGCACCACCTTCCACCTTGATTATTGAGAAGGCATTTGAGAAGTCCTAAGATAAATTGTCTTTAAGAAAAGACAGGTGGAAGGATAGGCTATCCCATGTTAATGTATTTTCTACAAAATTGAAGCTACTAAACTGTGTCGAGACCTTAACAGTTTTTAAAAATCTTTTTGTTTATGGAAGCATTTACAAAATGTAACAGTCAGTGTCTCTCTTAAACTGAAAATATTAAGCATAATCAAGTATAATTTGACTTCTTATGATTATTGATGACAAGGAATTTATTATGAAAATAATTGGACTATGTAATGTCAGTTCCTAGTCCCCAGGACCCTGCCATAAATGCTTTTGAGTTTATATGGGTACTCTTAATAGTTTATGACTTTCTAGTTTTTGCTGATTAGCTGTTACTAGGCGCTTCTTTACTTCTTGTTACCACTGGTGCTATAATTGCTGCTTCTTCTAGCTCCTTACCATTCTGTGTTATTTTTAAGTCGTTGTTTATAGTTGCCTATGGCCTGAGAAATCAAACCTCATAGATTTTTAGAATGGTGTATAAAGTAAGAATAAATAAGTACTGAATAAGGAGCAGAGCTACTTTCCTAAAAATCAGTACAATTCATTGCATGGAGTAAATGGTGTCTTTTGTTTTAAAACCAATTTTGATCCACTTAAAGGTCCTAGATAGGGAAGGCTGCTGGGTAGACATAGAGAGTTTGTAACTACATATAACTTCCTAAATGCAAATAGAGAAGTCACAATCAAATGGCACTTGTCTCACCCCAGGCTTTTATGGCTAATAATTAGGATGTTCTCTCCTGTATGGTGTCCCCAGGCTTACGCCTTGACATTCCTGGGAGGTGGCAAGCCTCATTCAGAATCACTCACTGGATCAGTGTGCCTTTGTGTGGCTGCGTTTTTTTGTTCCTGGCTCCTCCCTTCTGTTCCTCTCAGCACCTGCCCCGACTTTGTTTTGTAAGAGATCATTATTTTCAATTTGGTGGAATTTTAAAGATTCCTTTTGGGTGCCTTTTCGGGATCTATCACTGGGCCTTTATCCCCAGAATACAAGCTCAGGGGCCTTTCGGTGTGTGCATGTGAGTGGAGTATGCTTGCATGGAGAAGGAATATCACGTCATATATCTGCACACCTACTGCAGGGGTGTGTCCGTGTGTTCGTGTGTGTGTGTGTGTGTGTGTGTGTGTTTGTGTGTTCATGTGTTTGGACCGTGGCCATTGTCAAGCACAGCATAATGGTTTCCTGTGAAGAGTCTATTCCCTGTGTAAGGGGGTCATACCTGGCACTCTTCACACCTGTCTACTGAATAGGCCTTATGAGAAAATCAAGGTAGTGTCCACGAAGTCGGTAAGTGGACACTCACAAGGGCTGAGAGCAGCCCAAATGGAGGTTGACATCTTTATCACATGAGTCCCTTTAGTGCATTGTACTTGACTACTACACTGACCCCCAAACAAAACTCTCTTAGCCCAGCAATGAGCTCATGAAACTTCAGCTTCAATGTGCAATGACTGTGGTGATATTGTTAGCACGCAGAGTTGGTTCACTTAGGTCTGGGAGTGGGCCCCAAGAAGCTCCATTGCTAGCAAGGTCTCAGGTGACACTGCTGGCCCATGGAGCACTATAGAGAGTTTGAAGGATTAAAGGCACAATAAGCTTCATTGGGTGACAGTTGGAAAGGGATTTGTGAGAAGGGAAGCCCCTCACAGCAGGAGACTGTGCAGAGGGAAGCTTATGGGACCACCATTCAGAAAAGGAAGAGGACAAGGGAATGCCCAAAGCAGAGGGGCTTTGGAGAGGGATTTATGTGTCCAGGTGACATCTGCTCAGCAGCACAGCAAGGAGTCCATGGGTCCCAGAGCTTCTAGAGGCAGCAGTGCCTTGGAGCCTTAGAACTCCAAGGCCCTGTCTTATCAATGGGTAACAGCTGTTGCATGAGGTTTCAAGGAGTATGCAAAGCAGGCAGGCTCCATACAGCTGCAAATTTTCTTGTTTAAGCTATTTTACAAATAATTGGATGTGTAAAGATTTGGGAGTTTGGTGCCAACAGGCTTTTGAGCTAACAGTCTCAGCCTGCAGTGAAGAAATAAACCACCTAGAGGCCAATACACAGAGGCCATCTTTGGCTCATTTATTTACCAAATACACTTTGTACAGCAACTATCACCTCTGCAATAGAAGCTATCACCCCTGCAATCTGAAACACTCTGTTTCTCATTTGGGGCTGATTACCTTGTTCTTCCACAATTAATTTCTGAGGGCCTCATTCAAAGTCCTGCAATTCCCTTGGAGAGCCCCATGTGATTTCTGGCTGAGATGGGAATGGGGATGTGTCGCTGGGAGGGAACAAACCAGTCTGAGTATTCTAATACCTTGAGTAAAAGGAAACTTTTATGTATTATGTCAGAAAAAATATAATAGAATAGGAAGGCTACCTCTATTTCCCTTTATTCAGGATTCAGGTCTATCAGGCATTTAAAAGACATCACATATAGATTGGTCCCTTTTTAATTCTCTCTCAAGGGGCAAACATAACAAAACAAAACAAAACAAAAAGAAACAAAACAGAACTGCAGAAAGATACTGAGATCCCCATTTACAGTGGAGCAGCTGAGACACAGGGAGGTGAAGCGAATTGGTGAAGGCTTCCCTCCTAGAACCTGTCTTTGGGTATCAGAGGTTTTGTCCTTAGTATCTCAGGGCCACAGCTGCTCCTGCTGAGTAGCTGTAATCAACATGTGAGTGTGAGAGGCATTTACAGAGTTTGTTGGGTACCCCCAATTCATGAGCTTTTTATTATTGTTCCTAGCATCATGATTGGGAGACGCCACTTAATCTGTATTTTACCCAGATCTGCGGGAACTTTAGTGTTAGTGTAAATGAACATGGCTGACATTTCTCTATATACCAGCCCCCCAGTAGAGCGTCCTGTGGCAAGCTGTCATGTCACAAATGCATGAAGGGTTTGCTGATCCAGAGAGTTTTGTAGACCTGTGACTTACCTGGCACTTCCCAGTCAAGAAACATGCCACCCTACATAGTTGGTCCTCAAGGCCTCCTGAGTAAGCAGCCAACGGTAAATAATCTGTTATGAACACAGCTGAGAACTGTGTTGAGGACTCCAAGATGGAGCCCCAGCCTTCGGCCATGGAGTTAGCCAGTCATAGAATTCTGTGCTTCGGATACTGTCCTCTGGAGAGAGCATAAGATATGCCTCAGAATTATCTCACCTGAGGGTGAGCAAACCAGTGTTTACCCACCAAATGCCATCTATCACTGATGGTCGCTGTGGAAGCATTAACTCCCTGGGACTTCTGACCTACTTTGTAGTCAAAACCTGTTGGGATATATGGGACTGGTGAATGCCAAAAGAAGAATGGACAGTGTCTGTGTCCACTACACCTAGGTACTGGGATATAAGAACATTTTCTGCCACACTGAAACTTTCAGTCTAGTGGGATAGGGTGTATACAATGCATGTCATGTTCCTGGCATACAGTGGCATCAAACAATACTTGCACTTATAATTTTTTTCTTCTCTAATACTTAAATCTTTTTTTTTTTTTTTTTTTTTTGAGATGGGAGTCAAGGCTGGCCTTGAACTCCTGGGCATAAGCAATCTTCCCACTTCAGCCTCCCAAGTAGCTGGGTGGTGATGCCACTGTGCCTAGCAAATGCTTACATCTTGATGAGGGTATCAGCTTGTCTGCAGTCAAAGGTCTCCAAAGCCCACTCATCTTAACAGCTTCTCAGTATACAAAATATATTTTGCTGATGTTATAGGAGTCCAGGGCCAGCACAGGGAACATATGGAAAGAGCGTCAAACCCTTTCTCTATCTTGCCCTGCCAAACAACAGGAGAAGCACAGCCAGCAGAAAGCTTGCCCACCTCTTCAAACAGTTTCAGTCCATGGTGCTAGGAGAGCCTGAGGAAGCAGAGAGCTTGCCTCTGCTTCCCATTGCCTATCCCAATGCCATTCATTGGGGGTGCAATGAAGCGCTCTTGTAGTTTATCTCAGGGAGTCAATATAATTTTTAAATGCTGTCATGAAATAAAACACATATCTAGCAACCAGCACCTAAGATAAATTATGATTTTAGTGGGTACACTTGGGTTAAGAGTTGAGGAGACTTTTGTTGGCAACTGGCAGCTGGCAACAGATTATGCATTTATTGTTTGTTTTGTCTTCATCTGGTTCTTTCCAATGATGAGGCTGGTTTTTGTCTCTTCCAGCCACAAGCCACTTACCCTGTTGTGTGTACTCTAGAGCCCTGAGTCCACCAAGAGCAAAGGCATGAGGGATCCTAAGTCCTGTGGAGGTGGATAGGGAGTCAGGGGTTCAGGGAGGTCTGAAGCCAGATGTAGTCCGGGCTAAGCCAACAGATGCTCTTCTCCCTGGCGGAAGTCAGAGGCCTTCCTTGTTTTGTAATCTGTGGGTTGCATAATCAGTTTACAATACAAGATTTTTACCCTGGGGTATATATAGTTTATAGATAGAATTCAGAGGAAAAAATTTATATCTTTATTTTCACTAACTTCTGATTAATATTTAGCATTTTCTTTGTTTATAAATGAAGGTGACAGACCACAGTAATATTAGCAGTACCCGTGACTGTCACCAATAGAAATCATAGGTATTTTCATCTCACTTTAGTTTGTGCAGATCTTGCAAAGTAACATTTATGCTTCTCACTGCTTTATAATCATGGCCAACATATATGTGTTCCAATAAGGAAATACATATATTGCTGTATCTGAAATTCTTTTAAAAATATTTGATGGCTGAATTTCACTTTCCCTTGTAATTGTATGTATTTTATTTTTTATTCATTCATAAACATTATTCCGAGAAGGGGTCCTTAGTTTTATTATACTTGCACAAAAAAGATTACAACCTTTTCTTAGTAGGTCATGAGCAGCATTGTTTTAAATGAAACAGAATAGAATAGAGCATAAATTATTAGATGCATAAAGCAAGGATAACTATTGTTTGTCAAACTTCTGCTTTAGTTCTCTGCATGTACATATGCTCTAAGCTGCCATGTAAAATATTGTTTTTTTTTTTTTCCCGTGGGTCATAGGCAGAGATTAAAAGCACTGTCTTAAGCCTGAAAGAGAAAAGCGTGCCCTGCTTTTATGGGTTCATAATCCCTCATCTAAAACCCAGATCGAACTAAAAAAAAAAAAAAAAAAAAACAAACAAAAAAAACCTTGGTGCTAGATGGTTTTCAGAATTCAGAATATTTTAGACTTTAGGAAGACTATACAGTGCACAATTTATATATTACATAAGACCATGGAAGAGTCAGGGCAGCCCCATGCAATCAAACATATTAATATATCTGTTTCCTGCGGTGAAACATGTGAAACGTCATACTAAGTAGGATGACTGAAAACTACAAGCAGCCTCACATTAGACAAAGTCAGGTTTTGCTGCCAAACAAGTGATTACAAAGTACTTTTGGTTTTCAGAGCTTTGTGGATTTTGAAACAGTGGATGAGAGAGTGGGCTCAGGAATTCCTTTTTATTTGACCACTTACTGATTAGGGGTTGGTAAGTGCAGGATTTGGTAGTAGCTATGATACTTTTTGACATCTTCATAGTTGATATCCTCTTTATATTGCCCTTTCCTGTGGTGTGATTAATTCTATTTTTTTTTCCTAAAGCAACAAAAGATAATCGTCTGAGAAATAAATCATGATAGCATTCTAAGCATATTGTCTTTCTCTTTCTTTACCATACTATATCATCTTTTCTCTAATTTTCTTAAAGAATGGGATGTGAGACATTCTTTTTTATTATCAATTTAGAAATAATACTTTTGGTACTTGAGCTCCAAAGACTCCCATATTTAAAAGAAGTACACAGAAGACTTAAATGTATAAGACTTCTATCTTTATAGTGAACAATGACAGAAAAGCTACTCTGTGCCAGGCACTGTGCTTGGCCTTCTGTAGTATGACGTTGGATACTCACAGCAACCCTGTAAATTAGGTGTCATATCGATTTTACAGGAAACTGAAGCTTAGTAGATTAAGAGATTCACCCAGGGTTGGACAGTGGAAGATCTGGGATCTGAGCCCACTATCATCTCTTTCTCTCACAATGTTCCATTACATCTACTCCCTCTTGATGTGATGATCTGGATCTATGGAGACCACTAAAAGTTCATGTATATCTCTATTTCTACAGCTATATCTAACTATATATCTGTTTATTCATTGCTATGGTATAAAACAAGAGAAAAGAGAAGACATGACTTTACAAATTGGTCAAGGTCGTTTGGTGCCCCATCCCCAGATTCTTCCCAATCCAACTCCAACCTCCCTTCCTCCTGAAGCTTTGTTAACTCCCCACCCTCCCTGTCCTGAATACTTGTAGTTGGGGCCACACAGAACACCACCTGTCCATGTTCTCCAGTGATTTTGCTACATAAGCTCTTGCTCCCAGACACAGCTCTTTCTCCATTGCCTCTCCCATTCTGCCTAGGAAGGTAGATGTTGTATTTCGGGCTTCTGGCTGATTGTTTGCCTGGGTAACTAGAGTGTAAGCAGGAAGAAGTGAGCTAAAACCATGGTCTACAGTCTGGGTAACTATGAAATTGCTCTGCAGGGGAGAGAGTTAAGAAGGGAAGAGACAGAGGCTAGAGCCACAAGGGCAACCTTGTAAAGATGCCTGGGGCCTACTCAAGTAGCAGCCTGGAAAGGTGCATAGATGAGAGTCTGAAGGTCCTGAGGGCTTTGCTACTTTTTGTGAGATAATTTATTTTTTATTTTTACTGTTTAACACAGACTTAGCCTTATTACTAAATAATTTGAAATCAATGTATTTCTTCTTAATATTTTAAAATTTTTAAAAATTCTTTGTTTCTATTCAATGTATTGTATTAAGTAAGAAAAAATTGTATGAGGTTGCCACTAGCGCCTGCAAACCAATCAAACCCTGCAATCTGTGTTAACATTACATGGGCAACAGAGTGTTATCATGAGGAAAATAAATAACCTTTGTTGTTAACAAAATTCCTACCCCACGTGATCCATTTCTATTCATTGTTCTCTTTAAAGAGGCAATATGGTATCATACTGGCGAAGAAGACCGCCATGCTGGCATCATGAAGTTCTAGGCCTGCCACTCTTTCTGATACACTGTGTCATCTCAGGTCCTGTCCCTGGAGCAATGGATGTATTGATCCAGGCTGACCTTCAAAGTGTTGGGACTCATTAGAATGGAATCAAATAGTGGGGGGAAAAGTTTCCTGAAAATTCTTTTTCAAACTTTTGGTTGTAATAAGAAGAAAGGCTCAGTTTAGTCCTAATAAGTCCTTAACATTTCTCTACCATTTGCCAAACTATCTTTTAAAAAAGCTATTTCTAGTAGAATTTCTTTTTCTATTATATATATGTGTATTATATAGATACATATACATATGTGTGTGTGTGTATATATATATATATATATATATATATATATATATATATATACACACACATACAAAACAGTTGTATTTAGGTACAATTGTATGCATTTAAGCATGTAATTTAGTAAATATCAACTTATGAATACACCTGTGAAGCCATCACCACAATCAAGAAATCAACATATCCATCATGCTGGAAAACTTCCTTGTTCCCCTTTGTAATAAGTATCCAGCTCATTGAATTTTCAGATGCTAGATGAACCTCTGCAACCAGCATGCAGATCAGGAAACCGAACTGACAAATCCTCCTTTCTGCTCCACCTTGGGATTCTGTGGCCTTTTAATGCCAGTAGTTTAGGTCTGTTAAGTGCTGCCCCAACTATAGTGTTAAGTTGTTTGAGTTCAGATCAGGCTTCATTTACTCCTGGGCAAACCACTTATTATCGTTATGACTTGATTACCTTATGTGTAAAATGAGTATAATAATATTGTGTACCTCAGAGGGTTGTTAACCAGATAATCTTTGTGCTTAGAACTGATTGTTAATTTAGGGACTAAGAATGTCAAGTATACAGCTATCAAAGGCTGTATATGTGAAAGTAAGTCTCCACTAATTGTTATTATTAGAGAGGAAAGCTCATCCCTTTTCATTTCTGCTGATCTCAGGCAAGGTGAGAGAAGGGACTATGTCAATAGGGATTCTGGAGGAGACTGGAATACAGTAGGTACTTAATAAATGTTTACTTGGTCGTCTGGACTTAAAAAACTTGGTGTTTATGAAGAGACATGTAAAGCTTGTTTATTTTTCACTTGTGGCTCCTGATTTTGGTTAAAAGGCCACCAGTTACCCACAAGAAGCAAATGAGCCTGTTCTAGTTTCTAGGAATATAATTCTGGTTAGCCTGACAAACTGTTTGACCACTAGAAGTTCTCCCAAGAATAGTTTTTTGTTGATGGTGGTTCTATGTAAAAAAATGGAGACTCAGCACTATGAAGCTATCTTGAATTTTAGGAGGCTGAAAAATAAATCAACACTGAGGTGCTGCTAACATTTGTGTTCTTGATCTAGATGCTGGTTACATGAGATGTTCATTTGTAAAAATTCATCAAGCTCTACACTTACTTAAAAATTATAGCATAATTTACATATATTACATGCACCCTTAATGTTTATCCCAGCATTATTCACAATAGCAAAGTTACAGAATCAACCTAAGTGTCCATCAACAGATGTATGGATAAAGAAAATGTGGTGCATATACATAATTGAATACTATTTGGCCATTGAAAAGAGTGAGATGGTGTCATTTGCTACAATGTGGATGGCACTGGAACATTGCATTAAGTGAAATAAGCCAGATACAGAAAGACAAATATTGCATGTATTCACTCACATGTAGGAGCTCAATAGATTGACCTCAGAGAGGTAGAGAGATACCAGAGGCTGGGAAGGATATGGGTGTGTGTGTGTGTGTGTGTGTGTGCGTGTGTGTGTTTGTGTTGGGGAGAGTGGACTAAAGAGAGGTTGGTTAATGAGTACAAACATATAGTTAGATAAGAATAAGTTCTAATATTCAATAGCAGAGTAGGGTGACTATAGTTAACAACCATGTGTTGTACATTTCAAAATAGCCAGAAGTGAGGACTTGAAACATTGTTTACACATAGAAATGATAAATTCTGGAGGTGATGAATATCTTAAATTCCCTGACTTGATCATTAAAGTGTATGCGCATAACAAAATATCACGTGTCCCATAAATATGTATGAATAGTGTGTATCAATAAAAAATAACAAAGTAATCAACAAATCTAAAATGTATGGTTTAATGCTTTCGTACTTATATTTGCAACCATGTAAACATCTCCTAGATCAAGATCTACAATATTTCCAACACAGGTGAAAGTTCCCTTGTTTTCCTTTCCCCAGATATAAGCACATTCTGACTTCTATCACCACAGAGTTAGTTTTACCTGCTCTTGAACTTCATATAAATGGAATCATACAGTATGTATACACTCCTTGTGTCTGGCAATTTTCTGTCAGCATAATATTTCTGAGATGCACCCATTTTGTTATGTGTAGCCATAGTACATTCCTTTTTATTACTGACTACTGTTCCATTATATGAACATATGCCACAATTTATCCATTCCATTTTGATGGACATTTTGGTTGTTTCCAGTTTTAGGCTATTATGAATAAAGCTGCTATGAACATTTATGTTCAAGTCTTTTCCTGTTGACTATGTTTTCATTTTCCTGGGGTAAATGCCTAAGAATGGGATGCTGGGTATGTTTGTCTTTATTAGAAATTATCGAACAGTTTTGCAGAGTGGTCATAACATTTTTCAACAAGGGTGTTACAAGTTCCTGTCATTCCACATCATCACCAACACTTGGTATTTTCAGTCTTTTTGAAACTTACATATTTTTATATAATGCGTTATGTGTACATATTACTTTAATAAAAAGTTAAAAATGAATCAACAATAAAAACAATGATGATTGTGTCTAATGGTGAAACTCTGAACATTTAAATAAGTTATCTGGATGTTTTGTTGACATCTGCCAGGAATCCAATAATTACATGTTGTCCTAGTTAATTGATGTATTTTTATTACGCATTATGTAGAACGATTAAGTGTTAACCTAGGGGTTGGTTAGGGAAAACTATTTCTGAAAAATAGTCCCAAAGCTTCCTTGAGAAATCTTTTTACCTCCATTTCCCTTTTTGTTTTGTAGAACTTATGATTCAGGATGTTTTGACCAGAGCTCTCTGCTTTTCTTCTTTCCCATTGCAGAGCATAAATGCCCAGTGGATGAGCGGGAGCAACTGGAAGAAACCTTGCCCCTGATTTTGGGGCTCATCTTGGGCCTCGTCATCATGGTAACACTCGCGATTTACCACGTCCACCACAAAATGACTGCCAACCAGGTGCAGATCCCTCGGGACAGATCCCAGTATAAGCACATGGGCTAGAGGCCGTTAGGCAGGCACCCCCTATTCCTGCTCCCCCAACTGGATCAGGTAGAACAACAAAAGCACTTTTCCATCTTGTACACGAGATACACCAACATAGCTACAATCAAACAGGCCTGGGTATCTGAGGCTTGCTTGGCTTGTGTCCATGCTTAAACCCACGGAAGGGGGAGACTCTTTCGGATTTGTAGGGTGAAATGGCAATTATTCTCTCCATGCTGGGGAGGAGGGGAGGAGGGTCTCAGACAGCTTTCGTGCTCATGGTGGCTTGGCTTTGACTCTCCAAAGAGCAATAAATGCCACTTGGAGCTGTATCTGGCCCCAAAGTTTAGGGATTGAAAACATGCTTCTTTGAGGAGGAAACCCCTTTAGGTTCAGAAGAATATGGGGTGCTTTGCTCCCTTGGACACAGCTGGCTTATCCTATACAGTTGTCAATGCACACAGAATACAACCTCATGCTCCCTGCAGCAAGACCCCTGAAAGTGATTCATGCTTCTGGCTGGCATTCTGCATGTTTAGTGATTGTCTTGGGAATGTTTCACTGCTACCCGCATCCAGCGACTGCAGCACCAGAAAACGACTAATGTAACTATGCAGAGTTGTTTGGACTTCTTCCTGTGCCAGGTCCAAGTCGGGGGACCTGAAGAATCAATCTGTGTGAGTCTGTTTTTCAAAATGAAATAAAACACACTATTCTCTGGCCTTTGGCTGCTTTCTTGAAACAAGAAAACAAAGCTAAAATGGTGTCTTTGGCGTCCAGAAGAGAAAGAGGAAAAGATGAAGACGGATTTTGCATGTTTGCAAGAGGAAAAGTAAAGACAGGGCAGGAAACCAATGAGGGGGAAGTTGGCTTTTCTAGGTGAAAAAAACATGGATTTTTTTGGCAAATATAAATAGTTTTAATAATGGCACCTCTTGACCAGTTGGCCTAATATTGCTTCTGATGCTTCTTGGTCTTGAGTTTGGCATTTCACTTTGGATTAAAAAGGTGGGCTGGACGTAGTAGCCTAAGTTGACTTCTATTTGAAGGAAAATTCCTAGAGAAATGCACATAGTTTGAATTCATTCACTTTCTAAATAATCATTTTTTTCCCAGAATGTCCGAGTGGGAGTAGGGAAAAATCTTTTGTCTGGTTTTAGAGTGGAACTCTCTCCCTCCACATATACAGTCTCCACCATATGAGAGGCAGCTCATGAACTCCTCTCCCTAAGTCTTCAAACTGCTCACAATAGGGTATCCTCAGAAGTTCATTATCCCAGCAATCTCACCAAGTATCATCCAGTTTCTGTCCTATTTCCCATTTGTTTGCTCTTCTATTAACCACAATCTTCTTGTCTTCATGATCTCTCTTCAGTGTCTGCCTCTTACCAGTGAGGGAAAATCTTTAATTCCTCCTAAAATTTGCATGTTGCACAAGGAAAAAAATACCTTTGGTGAAAACTAAAAGATGGTTAACTCCATTCTTATACTCATCTGTGATCTGTGATCTTCTCACCCACATTCCCCAAACTTGACAAAACTTTTCCTTTTTAGCATCCCAGTATTTTCTTTAAACGTTGTATTCCTTATTTGGACCCATCTGAATATCTAGGGGAGAAATGGACACTTAGATTTATCTGGGACTTCACAGTGAGTTACCATTCCCTTCTGCAACCGTTTTGAAAAAGAAATCTTAAACCTTTCTGAGTCATATGTCTGAAAATTCCCTTCTGTGTATGTTTTTCTTTAAACTTGCTTTCACAAAACATAAGGCTTATTATTAGTTTTGGAATTGTCATGTAATTACATCATTGTTATGTAAATGTACATAACACCTACTATTGTTTTGTGCACCTATTGAGTACAGGCTCCGTAGTGCCTATAAAGTAATAAACTTGGCCTTAGTTTCTCTAGGGAAGGACTGACAAGAGAACAAACAACATACAACAAACATGTCATTCTCAAAATGTCAGAGTGCCCTGAATCTTTAGAAAGTGTTGACTCATGACCACATCTCTGTGTCTCAGCTACTTCAATCTTTCCAGAATCCAAATAACAGTGATTTTTCCACAAGTAATGTGCAGGATGTATAAAAAGCCATTATTACGATTACTGTTATGATTATCAATATTGTTTACCATGTAATTTTTACCTAGCTATTTAAAAATTATATGTCAAACTCAGTCTAGTTGCCTTTGAACTGCACCTTATTTCTCTCAGCCATGTCTTCATCTTTATCATCAATTAAACACGATAAAGGGGAGCCTCATGACATAGAGCAGGAAGTGGTCTCTGGACACGTCTGTGCCTGGCAGCCTGGCATTCTCCCAGCTCAGGGTGTCCAGGAAGACGGACTCCACCCCAGGCCTCAGCTCTGGGCCCTCTCCATACTCATTGTCATTGCCATTGTCCTAACATTTTGCAGCTGCTCCTGGGCCAGGAATAGCCTGAGGCAATGGCCCATTTATCTGCATTGCTTCTCAAGCTTCAGAGACAGGGAAGAAAACATATAAAACACAGATGCTCAATTACCCCTTGAACTGTCATTTTTCTTTTTTACTGGGATTTTAAACACAAATGCCTGTGGGCACAAGAGGATGTTGGGCCTGGTTGCTGGGTATGCCTGCCTGGAAAAGCCAGGCCAGATGGACCATATGTGGATTTCTCTTGAGGGAGGGTGACTTTGATTTAAATTCAGAGCATGGTTCTTTGCAGGATTCCCTCAGTCCCAGGAAACAGTTCCCAGTGAAACAGCCTCAGAGGGGCAGAAAGCACTCGCTTATCTGGAGCCTGAGAATGCCCTCCAAACCATCATCTCTCTCTTTTTGTCAATTGTCCAATCTTTCCATTAGCAAAGCCTTGGCAAACCACATGGGTATGGGAAGAAACATCTGAGAAATGTGAATGGAGAAAGGGGAGGAAAGATGGTAGGAGTGACCTGCAGCATCTGGGTGAAGCAGACTGCTGCATGTGTAGGGGTGGGTTTTACCAGGCAGGTGGTTCAAACTGGCATTGTGCTCAAACCCTTCCCCGGAACAAACACCAAGCAACCTGGGCCAGAGAAAGCTTTAAATCGTTGTGTCTCAAAGTGCATTCAAAGGCACGCTGTATTAGAATCATCCTAGGAGACCTTTGAAAGATGTTAGTTCTAGGGCATCATCCCAGACATTATTTTGAGAATCTCTGTGGTGAGGCCCTAGAATCTGTAGTTTTACTCTGCTCCCCAGATAATGTTGATGGAGAAATAAGAAGACTTCTGGTTAAAAAGCCTCTACTATCAATGTATGTGCAACATTATCCAAATTATTAGGCTTCTCTGGGTTCATGTTTTTTCATCTGAAAATGAAGCTTACTTCATTTTTTTTTTGAGGACTCATGAAGCACCTGGAAGTCCCTAGCACAATGCCTGTCACATTGGAGAGACTCTCTAAAAATTATCATTAGTGGCATTTTGCTAGCACAATTCTTAACACGTACGTTCAAATTTTACCTGCCAAACAAGAGGTCACGAAAGATTCAAAGGGACTAATATAAGAGTTTTAGCCAGGCGCGGTGGCTCACGCCTATAATCCCAGCCCTTTGGGAGGCCGAGGCGGGCGGATCACGTGGTCAGGAGATCGAGACCATCCTGGCTAACACGGTGAAACCCCGTCTCTACCAAAAATACAAAAAAATTAGCCAGGCATGGTGGCAGGCACCTGTAGTCCCAGCTACTCGGAAGGCTGAGGCTGGAGAATGGTGTGAACCTGGGAGGCGGAGCTTGCAGTGGGCCGAGATGGTGCCACTGCACTCCAGCCTGGGCGACAGAGCGAGACTCCGTCTCAAAAAAAAAAAAAAAAAAAAAAGAGTTTTAAATCTGACTTCTACAGTTTTCTGTGTCAATTTATTTTGGATTCAGAGAATTTTTATGCAGGGATTCCCCTCCACCCCAGTTCAGTAAATCACTCAGGGGTTATCAGTTTTGGGTTGAGGGGATCTGTCAGAATTTATGAACTTGGATGGGAAAAAATTATACCTCCAGTTTTTACTAACCTCAAATGAAAAGTAGAATTTCTTTCAGTGGTGAACATGGGCATTAAACCACTGCAGTATAAGAAGACCTGTGAATTTGTCATCAATAGAAATAGCCACATTACACTTGCCAGCTATATCTCAAAAGAATCATTTATACTCATTACTTTGAAATTATGGTAGTTATTTGACCCATCAAAAGATCTTGTTATTTAATGCATTATAGCCGCATTTTAAAATTGTGATAATGATACTTTAATCTTTTTTTTTTTTGTAAGCCTACATATTTTACTTTATGCATTTTAAAAACTTTTCTGAGAAGGAGATTATAAGCTCAGACAGCCAAGAGGGTCCAGGGTCAATGGTACTTCAGCTGTCATTTAAAGTGACAGAGCCTGTCAGGTTGTCTGCTGGGAAATGGTTTACAAAGGCACTCATGACAGATGAGATAATAAGTATTTCTTAGCACTGATCTTGTGCTTTCTAGACGCTGCTCTGGGTACTGGGACACAGCAGTGAAGAAAATACATAAGAACTCCTGCCCTCATGGAACTGAAATATGTGGGGCGTGTGTCTGTGTGTGTGTGTGAAAGTGCGTGCACGTGCATGTGTGTATACCTGTCTATTTAGGTACAGTTTGAGGATCCTAAATCTGAAAATCTGAAATACAAAATGCTTCCAAATTCAAAACTTTTTGAATGTTAACATGATGCTCAAAGAAAATGCTCGTTGGAGCATTTTGGATATCAGATTTTCAGATTTAGGATGCTCAATTGGTACGTATAATGCAAATATTCCAAAAATCTGAAAAAATCCCAAATTCGAAACACTTCTTTTGGTTCCAAGTATTTCAGGTAAGGGATACTCAACCTGTATTATGATTAATGTGCTGTCATTACCTAACTCTTTGGGGCCTTGGTTAACTCAGCCTAAGTGAATCATAAGATCTTGTCTTTTCTAGCTTTAAGTTTTTAGAAATGCTGACAATGATCAGGCTTAATGATCAAAACATTTGTCATGTGAGAAAATCAGGATAAGAAATTTCTTTGCTTTTAGAACAATATATTTTGATCCAGAAATCAGCAACCCATAGACTTTCTCATGTACTCTTTTTGTCTTTAGTTAGGTCTATTTATGTAGGAGATGCTCTCAGGGTCCCACTCGTGTTCCCTCATCCCTTCCTGGAGGTCATTTGCTGTGTCAATTTTAGCAAAGGGAACAAACTTTGCCCATGTGCAGGGCGAGGAGAGTTGATGCTGCAGGAACAATTCTCATCTAATGATGGATAGGAGATAATTAAATATACCAGTGCCCCCCTCAAGAAAGACAATTCTCAAGTGTCTCTCAGAAGGTCACCAATGGGATTGAGCCCCAGTTGCCTATTGTGGTATCCCATTCATTAAAACACAGTTTCTTGACTTTGTTCTCTTTGTCTTATTTCTTCACTCTGCCATGTTGACCTTCCTGGGATCATCTTCCAAATGAAGTATTTGTGTCTAAGTCTTTATTCAAGCTCTTCTTTTGGCAGGACCTACACCAAGATAATGTATTCATTTGACTTGAAACACAGCTCAATATGTACACATTTCAAGGATCAAATGGACTGATTTTCCTGCACAGTGTGGATTGGTACTGTGTCATGTCACTTTCACAAAATTTCTCCTGCTTGCACATTTTATATCTGCTTCAGATCAATTTGATCTTTTCTCTGCCTGGAATTTCATTACCATTTTTTTTGATGACAGTGTACTGTTCATTTGATCAGTTTGATCGAGCAGTCTGAACTCATTGGGCTGTTAACTTCATGGTATGATTTACTTTTCCACTGATTGCTACTAAATGTGTTCTTCCCCAGGGATAAAGGGGACGTGACTGCCATTCAGTCTGATTCCATCTGTCTAGTCTAGTTTAAAAATCAATCTCATTCTAATTCAAAGATAATACATCTCTCCTTTGCTCAAGTGAAACTTCTACTAGAGGAAGAGGTAGCAACTGGGAGGCAGTGCAGGATACATGGTGTGCTCTTGTATTCCCCCTTTCTTTCTCTTAAATACCTTCTTCAAATCATGGGGTCTCACACTAACACATGGCCCTATTCTATGTGGACTAGTGGGGAGCGGAGGTTCCAGTAACCTAGCTGGCTGTAGTCAGCTGCCTTGGAGATGCTATTGGAGGAAAGGGAGAGGCCTGAGTCTCATTTTGGTTCCACTGAAAACTACAGCTTCTGCTGTTCGGAGTGGTCTTTGTGTAGATGACATATGTGGTTTTTAGAGTAAGGGTCAGCTCCACCTTGACCCTGTCTCCATGCAGAAAAGCAGCCATATTTCCCTTCAGTTGCCCCCATGGTGCACCCCTCCAAAGCACTCTGCAAGTTGGACATCCTGTTACTTAGTTAAGTGGTTTGACACATTCCCTGCTGTCCTCTCCATGTCCCATCAAACATACTCAAGGGAACTCCATGTCTTCTTCCATGCCCAGTAAAGGCAGAGGAGACCTGTCCAGGGGAGGTTGCCTCCACCTTTGTCTGCCCTGACATGTGATATACAATGCCTTTTTTTCATCCTGCTAGCTCAGGCTACTTCCTGAGGGTTTTTACCTTCCAACATTTCTGGATGGAAAATAGGCTGTGTATATAAAAGTTCCCCCATCCTCCAGCTTCACGAGATCAATGTTAATGTCCCCCTTGTCTCCCAAAGTGGAGGAGAGAGCCCAAATTATCTTCTAGGCTCCCAGAGAGCTCTCAACACGACCTCTTGAATCCAGGTTCTATTATAAATACACATGCACACGTATGTTTATTGTGGCACTATTCACAATAGCAAAGACTTAGAACCAACCCAAATGTCCATCAATAATAGACTGGATAAAGAAAATGTGGCACATATACACCATGGAATACTATGCAGCCATAAAAAAAGATGAGTTCATGTCTTTGCAGGGACACGGATGAAGCTGGAAACCATCATTCTCAGCAAACTATCATAAGAACAGAAAACCAAACACCGTATGTTTTCACTAATAAGTGGGAGTTGAACAATGAGAACACATGGACATAGGGAAGGGAACGTCACACACTGGGGCCTGTGAGGGTGTGGGTGGTTAGGGGAGAGATAACATTAGGAGAAATATCTAATGTAGGTGATGGGTTGATGGGTGCAGCAAACTACCACGAGAGGTGTACACCTATGTAACAAAACTGCATGTTCTGCACATGTAACCCAGAACTTAAGGTATAATAATTAATTAATTAATTAATTTTTAAAAAAGCCCTCAGATCAGTTTTGCATCTTTGGAACAGGGAAGTAGAATGAGAGTCTTCAGCCCTGAACCTGGCTTTCCTTGAACGTGGCCTTCCAGAATTTAGTAATTTTTTTTTCAGTAGTGGTATCGACATCACCATCTTACACTCTTTACAATCCCTAGGGATGGATATATTTGTCTTTACGTCATGTCATCACAATGTTACATACAACTTTGTACCAACTCATTTGCACTCCCCAAGATCACAAAGAAATCATTCTTGGTTACTCAATAAAATAAATTTGAGAAATCACTGTTTCCAATAACACAATGGGGAAAAGGCAAACATTTATTTTTATTTGCAAATGCAGTTTCTGCCAATAGTTAGTGCTCACAAAACCTTTTAAGCTACAGTAACTTTTGGTAAACTCAATGAATACTTTAAAAAATACCCGATGGTAAGAAAATTACAGAAAAATTTCCATTACACTGTCGAAAATGTTTGGAATCCAAAATCCACTATTTTCTGCAATAGTTTTTAATGTTTATTCTGGTTTAAAAAAGATTTTCTTTTTCTTTTCTTTCTACTTCTACATAGTCCTGGTTAAATTAATACAATCTGTCTCATGAACATTTAGGACTGCCATTTTCTGGATTTAGATTGTTTTTATTCTCACATATTTATATTAATGCTTTAATATTTTACATAAAACATTGATTTGCTGTTTTATGAAGCAAAATCATAGATCATATTTATGGAGGCATTTCCAGTTTGAAAGAAAACTGAAAATCTAATCAGTAGAAGGTCATTTTATGCCTTTTTTCCTTTTTAGCAGTGATAAATAATTAGCAACCTATTAATTACAAAAATTCTTAATTATGCTTAGAGCAACCAGAGCGCTATCACAAATTTAAATTCATATTTGTTACAGTATGTGAAATAGTTAAGAAAAGCCTCTGTTTTCCCAGTTTGGTAACAAATGGCTTTTGTCTGATGCATAATTAATAGAAACTAATGATGACTATGTAGCTCTTCCAGAGTTTTAAAGGCAAATCTATATTGGCCTACAGTTAACATGCAAATTCATCCAACAAGCAACACAAAATGTATTGTAGTAGTCATTCATTTTTATCAACATTCAAGAAGATCTAGACAGCAGCACGACTCTCCTATGTCGGAAACACATTATAACATGGGCACAACTGAAGTCAGATCATACCTGGTAAAATACCCTCTTGCTAATTCATCCTCTAGAGTCAGTTCAGACTTCCAGCACGATACATGAACAATAGCGATTAATACTGTGGTACAAAGGTAAATATAGACAAGAGTTTGGTGTGCTAGCATACAGAGTTTTAAAAATGGTGACAAATGAAACCAAACGTCTTGCCCTGTTCTCTCCTCTCCCTTTGTGAGCCTGGAATTCTCATGGTCTCACTGAAACATTCTATTTTGGGAACTGAATCCAATGATCCTAGCACTGAAATTGCTCCCTGGGAGGGAAATTTGGCCACAAGGGAACATTGTACCCATTTGAGAAAGGGCACTGAGGGAAACATTGTGGTGTGCAAAAGAATGGTTTGCTACTAGAGGCGTTCATGGAAAATGTGATCTTTAAAAATATTTAACTTTATCCCAAGGAGTGGTATACTGTGGCTCAAATTTTATTTCATTATTTTTGGTTGGATTAATGAAACGTGCACACCATCACCATCACTCTTAATTCTTCTTCCACCAAATAAGACACTTGTTAGGATAAGAAAGAGATTTTACTAAAGCTGACGGTGATTGAGAGTCATTCAGTATTCAAAGTTCCTAAAGAATCATTGGTTCTCTTAAAGGGATAAAAAAGTAGGAAAGGCTTTGTTCAAACTCCTCTAGTAAACAAGTATTACTTCAACTGATACAATGGCTACATGACATCAAAGTACTATAAATTATCAAAACTATCGTACAGAAAAATTACAAATTCGTTGCAAAATACATTATACTGCTACCATTAAGAAAAAAGTGCTTTTTGTTTTCCTTTCTTTCTTTTTTTTTTTTTTTTGCCAGAAAAGTATTCTTTCAATATAGAAAATCCTACATGTTACCCTGCATGTGGCTAGGATATATCATAACGGAGTTTGTACTGAGTCCTTCTGATTTGCTGGATGAAGGGCTGAAAAATATAATAATGACTTATTAAAGCCGTGCTCCAAGTGACCACACCGGCTGTCAGTGGAGAGATGCCTGTTTAAGACACAAGAAGATGCCCTGGTCTGTTGAACCCTGCCGGTCATCACGCTGTCCCACCAATTGGCTGGTCTAGAATGCACAGGCCTTTTGCATGTTCTGTGTTTCCTTTTGTTCTCCTGAATTATTCTCATGTCCTCATCTAGCTTTGCCACCTACACGAATCCTCTGCTCAGTGATGCCTGTATTGTCTCATGAGGGGGACGATGCAAGACGGTGGACCTGCTAGTTTTAAGAATGGATGTCCGAGGAGTTCCTGGGCTGTTGCTCTCTGAGAGGGCTCCCTCACCAACATCAAGTCTAGGAATCCCCGGAGCACTGAAGAAACCTGTGAAAACACACAGATACCAATCTGAGGACTAACACAGACACCTAACCCAGTCCCCAAAATGTTTTCCCCATTCATCCTATCAACAACTTCAAATTCCAGAAAGTTACCTTAAGGAGAAAGATGTTGTGAAAGCAAAAGCATGTCTTGTCTTTGTTAACATTTCGTGTTTTCCTTACCTTTTTCAAGTGTGAAATAATAGGTGTAAATGACAGCTCAACTAAGAATGAAAACTTATTTACTACATAAAATAACAGTGGCAATCACAGTGATAAGAGCAGCTATTACAAAATATTTAGTATGTGCAGGTGCTGGTCACACGTGCTTGATGAAGCATAGTATAAACAGGGAGCCGTTTTATTTTTCTAACAACTGCAACCACACAGGCTCTGTGGAACCCCTTTCTTTAAGAGAAACAAGCTTCTGTAAGGATATCGAACACATCTCATTTTTTTCTTTGAAGGTCTTGTAATTTTCCTTTTAAAGGTATATCTTACTTTATGTATATATTTAGAGATGAGGTCTCACTATGTTGCCCAGGCTCAAACTCCTGTGCTCAAATGATCCTCCCACCTCAGCCTCCTGAGTAGCTGGGAGTACAAGCATGTGCCAGCATGCCCAGGTTCCGCTGCACAAATACTAAGAGTGTGGCTCAATGGATTTTTACATACATTTACCCCTATTTACTTTCCACTCCTATCAAGATATAGAACTTTTCTACCACTCTAGGAAGCTACTTTTAGGTTTCCTTCCTGCCAACCCCTATCTCCCTGCAAAAGGTCACCACTATTTTAATTTATAGCATAACTTAGTTTTGCTTACTTTTGTACTTTACCAAAATGGAGTCATATATTTGATTTCTTCTCTATCTGGCTTCTTTCACTCAGTGTTGTATCTGTGAGATTCATCTCCGACGTGTGGCAAAAGTTATATCTTTTAAATTACTGTGTAGTATTCACTGTCCAATTATACCACACATTATCCATTTGGGAAACAACCTCGGACTGGTTTCCAGTTTTTTTGAAACCATTAGGATTAAAGTTGTTCTTGTACATGGTTTTGAAGAACATTGGCACTCACTGGGTGTGAGACTACTTTCATATGATACATTTTTAGTCACTTTTTTTTTTTTTTTTGGAGACGTAGTCTCGCTGTGTCACCTAGGCTGGAGTGCAGTGGTGCGATCTGGGCTCACTGCAAGCTCTGCCTCCCAGGTTCACGCCATTCTCCTGCCTCAGCCTCCTGAGTAGCTGGGACTACAGGCACCCGCCACCATGCTTGGCTAATTTTTTGTATTTTTAGTGGAGATGGGGTTTCACCGTGTTAGCCAGGATGGTCTCCATCTCCTGACCTCGTGATCCGCCCACCTCGGCCTTCCAGAGTGCTGGGATTACAGGCGTGAGCCACCACACCCAGCCACTTTTCATTATTTAGACTTAGTCCAATCCAGTAAAAATTTCAATCTCTCTTTTTTTGTTTATGTTTTTGTAGGTCCACACAACCTATATGAGTGATGCTACTGGGGCTGTTCCCTAAGATTTAGGGGTGAGGAAGGAGGAGATATTACCATTACAAATAATTCTCCTCCAAAAGGCAGCCACACACTCTCTTTTATTGTCATAAGATAGGAAGAGAGGTGTGTATGGGGCCAGTGTTTATAGTAGTAGTCCTGCAGAAATGATCCTCTGAGCAAGTCCTTTGGAAATCTGGCAGCTCCTACAGTGGTGATTCTTGGATGAAGCATCATTATTTTCTGAGCTCGTCCTAATTGGCAATCCTTGGAAAACAGAAAAGACCCCACTCGGTCTCTTACATGCATTATATTAACCATGACCTTCATTGCCCTGTACAATCTAGCTCCTGCCCATCTCTCTGACAAGACCTACCTTTTTCCCCTTTCTGACTTTACTCCAGCAATGTAAGCCTTCTTTCTTGGCTTAAGGCCTTTCCACTTGATGCTCCCCGTGCCTGGGACCTTTTTCTCCAAGATCTTTGCATGGCTGGTACCTTCTTCCTATTCAGGTCCCAGCTCGTTTGATCCCTCCCTAGAAAGGGCTTCCTTCACTCTTCAGCTTAAATCAGTGATAGGGTTTGGCTCTCTGTGCCCACTCAAATCTCACCTCATATTGTAATCCTCACATGTCAAGGGAGGGACTTGGTGGAAGGTAATTGGGTCATGGGGGCAGTTTACCCCATGTTATTCTCAAGATAGTGAGGGAATTATCATGAGAGCTGATAGTTTTATAAGTGTCTGGCATTTCCCCTGTGCGCTCTCTCTCTCCTGCCACCATGTAAGACATGCCTTGCTTCCCCTTCGCCTTCTGCCATGATTGTAAGTATCCTGAGGCCTCTCCAGGCATGTGGAACTGTGAGTTAATTAAACCTTCTTTATTTGTAAATTACTCAGTCTTGGGTATTTCTTTATAGTAGTGTAAAAACAGACTCATACAACCAGCTTTCAATCCCTTCTCCTGCACACTCTGTCACATCACAGTATGTTTTTCTTTCATAGTATGTACCACACTCTGAAATTATTTTATTTATTTGTTTGTTTATGGTTTACTATCTGTTTCCCCAACTAGAATGCAGAGTCTAGACCCCAGAGTCAGAAAAGCTGGGGTCATGCACGGTGACATCCCAAGCTATTAGATGTCCCCAGCATGTAATAGATGCTGAATGAATGAGTATGGCATAGAGCACCTGATTTACTCTTCTAACCAACCCTTTGGGATACAGGCCAATCATAACCCATTTTACAGATGAAGAACTTTGGCATAGGAAAGGCTGAGTCACTTGCCCAGTAAACGAATAGAAGAACAGAGATTCAAACCTAAGTGACTATTTCCAAAGTCCATGCTCATAAACCAGGATCTTCCTGCTGGATGTGGTAAGCCAGTCTTAAAAACCAGAGAGATACAGGAAAATCCAAAAACTATTCTGAACTTTAGCAACAGCTGCTGTTTCTCACCTTGTGTAGGTCCTTCACTCTTGGAGGTAAACTGTCCCGGATCCTCCGCATCGCCTGGAGGGGAGGCTCATTGAAGTAGGGGGGCTCGCCATCAATCATTTCTATCACCATGATCCCGAGGGACCAGATGTCCACCTGTTAGGCACACCCTACTGGTTATCTCAGGCAAGGAGAACATTCTGAAATGTCAAGTGTGTCCACAGAACCTCATACTCATTCACAAGTGACTATGGCACTTGTAACCTCTCAACATTTACAATATAGATTTATAGGCTAAACTGCTGGGTTACCGAGTTTTTGCTAACAGTCTTTGCCTTTTATGGACAACTTCAGTGAAGGTTCCACCCATCAGACATAAATGAATATTTTAACATTCTAAAGTTTAGTGCTTTCATTTTTACTCTGTAAACTTTAGTAGTTAACTGTCTATCAGGGCAGATGAGAAAATCATCCGGTTTAATGCTATGAAAATGGAGAAGAAAATTGTATTTAAACCATAAGCAAATAAGAAAGTTTTGACATATTTGTAACAAACTGCAAAGGGCTACCTTGCAGGATGCAGAATATATTCTGATTCTTTTATTAATTTGCTTTTAAAAATAGCTCTTTTCTCCCCTACTTTGGGATTTCCTTCCACTACCTTTTATTATCATTTCAAAACAGCATGCACAAAACCTCACTTTACAAAAGCATTTTCAGGGATTGGAGAAAAGAAAAGGAAGAGATGACAAGCAAGTAGTAAAGAATGGGAAGTCGAGACAATGAGGAGCCATCACTGTGCTATAAACTCCCAGTCCCACTCACTTTCCTGTTAGGAAAGTTTCCTGTTAGGGCCTCATTATACCTCTTATCTGATGAACGTATTGCTATTATTACCCCTTGCAGTGACCTTCACCGAGAATTTCTCTCTCAGGACCACAGTGAGAAAAACAAGTTGAGGACTCATCCAAGGTCAAGCAAACAAGAGAAAGAGAAAGATTCTGCCTTAACTTATGCTGATGTCCTTAGCTCACGGCCATGTCTTCTCATGCTTCTCTTCTCCCAGATTCACCATCCACACCATAAAGTGTGGAAACACTATGCCTAGCCGAAACATACCCCTTGGCTTCCATCTGTATGTAGCCTTATGTGCCTCTAAGCTTCCACCCATGCTATTACCTCCCAAGAAGGCCCTTCCTCTACTCCTCTGGCCCTGCATTTTCACATTTCCAGGCCCTACCTCTTAAAAGATTAAGAGTGATTGTTTTCATTCCAGTGGAAACAGAAATTGTGCCATGTTTTTGACTATGATTCACATATTATTTTTTTCCTATGAGAAAACAGTGTAGGTCCTTCACTGTGAGATGTAAACTGTGTTGAAAACAGTGGGTCATTTAAATATCACCTCTATTTTGTGGCACTTTCTTTGATCCTCTTTCCTTTCTCTGAATTCTCATGCCTGCTCATCTGCATGTCTCCAGCCACTTTGCAAGTTGCATTGCCTTGCTTTGTGTGTGTGCCTGCTACTGAGAGTGGGATCAGAGTTGGAGTGACTTTCCCACAGTGTCCACTGTAGGACTGCAATAAACAGCCCTTGGATAAATACTGCAGTGATCTGCCCCAGGGGTGGCCAGGCTCCCACCTGCCACAGCCTATCTACTCTGTGCCTCATCTAGTGAGTGGGGATCAAATGTGGAGCTAAAAGTCATTGCCCCCATCTCCTGTGGTCACCAACTATCTCAGAACCAATGGGTCCCTGAGCCTGTCCCCAGTCCTGCCACGCCTATGACTGTGACCCCCTTACCTCTGTCCCATAAGGTAGCCTAGAAATCACCTCAGGGGCCATCCAGTAGGGAGTGCCAACCAATGATTTCCTCTTCGGCACCTCTTTGGAAACTTGAGCACAGAAACCAAAATCAGACAACTTTATCTGAAAAGGAAAGGAATGCAACAAACTAGCAATTTTAAAACAATGTCTGCTAGACACGAAAATACAAACATACAGAGTTTCAAATTTAAAACAAAACAGTCTCATCAACAGGCCTTGGACATATCAGAGGAGGGACTGTCAGACCCTTTTATTGGAAAGGCATGGTCCATTTTAATGGAGAAACTTCTCCCGGGCCCACCAGGATCAACTTCCAAATGTCTCAACTCCTGCTGCTTATATTACTTCTATAAAATGATGGAACAACAACAAAAAATCTTTACAAATTAAATACACCACAAACAACAAATTTGTTACATCCCAAGCCTACAAGTTTAATATAATGTAACAGGTGATGCTTTCATATACATAAGTTGCTATTCTTAATATGAATTTTGAACAAACTGATGTAATTTAGATTCTTTTGAGTTGAGCACATTTAGATTTCTATGTACCATGAGGTGAATCAAAGAACCATCTCTTTTCTATATTTGAAATATTGCAAGGCCTTTGCTTATCCAGGATGTGGAAATGTCACTTTTAGTACTGGATACCCTTCCCTTTTTGGTTTGCTCCTTTGTCCATGACAGTTGAATCTACCAACATGAACATCAATGCAAGTGGAAACACAGGCATAGAACCTGGGTGTTGGCACTTGGTTGTCAGGGGTTTAAGGTGGTCATCCTAAGGGCTCAGTGTATATACATGTTATTTACCTTAGATATCATCAAGGAGGAAAAAAACTTGGAAATTTCTTTCCTAGAGCTCATGTACTCTTAAGAACATACTGCACCCTGGGTGTTAGGCACCCTGCTGGTTTATGAATTCTAGATGACCGGGATTCAGTTTATTTCTGGAAGCCATAATTTCTAGTCATGATGACCTGGTCTGAACTTCAAACAGCCTTATGAAAGTGACATCAAAGAGCCACTTAGAGTTGTTGGTGATAATAGAACACAAAAGAAAACAATGGTTCAGAATGACCACTTGAAGTGAAAAAATTTTTAAAGGTAAATAGTACAGTCTCCAGGGTATGAATTCTCTCTTAATTCTCTTCACACCTCTCTGAACTTCCTCTTCCAACCTTTTTTTTCTGGCTCTACCTCTGCCGCCTGCCTCTTAAATATTGGGGTTCCCTAGGGTTCTGGTTTCCTCTCTCACATCTTCTCTTCTTAGATTCTCTTACTGGATACTGTTTTTCTTTCTATGCTTAGTTCAGACCTTGCTCCTCCATTCAAAGCCTGTATTTCCAACTAGTGTATATTTCTAAATGGATGACCACAAGTACTTCCAAACTCAGCATCCCTCTCTCTGCTCCAAAAGCTGACCCCTTTCCTATCAGTCCTGTTCTAGTGAATGACACCAACATCAATCCAAGAAAATCATCCTTGACTCTTGTCTCTATCTCACCCCAAGTCTTCCTGGTTAGAGTTAAAAAAAAAAACTATCTCTGTGGCTTCAACACCCACAATAGTGCTTGGCCCATGATAGGTTTTCAAAATCAAAATTGTTGCATAAATTGATGAACCTCAATCATAAGAAGTGAAAGAGTCCTTGGAGAATGAAGAACAAGTGCATTAATATATTATAAAGATCAGGATTCAGCAGGGAGGTCTGACCCAGAGACAAGATTCCCCCTGCCACACATGTTATTATGGTAATTTCCAAACATATAGCAAAGCTGAAAGAATTATAGAGTGAACATCCCTATCTGCATGAGTAGATTCTATAATTATTAATGTTTTGCTGTGTGGGCTTTATCACACACCTATCTCTCTATCCATCCATCTATTCATCTAATTTTTGATGCATTTCAAACTGAATTACTGACAGCAGTACACCTCACTCCTAATTTAGCATTAACTGGAGTTCAATGTGTTTTTTTAACAGTTTAAAAATTTACACAGTGTGAAATGTACACACTTTAGGTTTATCATGTGATGAGTTTTGACCTCCCAGTACTATCAAGATCTGGGTATTGCCATCGCTAGGGTAGGATGAGAAGGTCCTTGGGATATGAGTGGTAGTGAAACCCTTGAAGGGCCATAGCATGAGAAAAGAAGATGGTCAAATATGAAATACTGGGCACCTAGGGTGATCGAAATTGAGGCATTACAGGAGACCGAAGAGAAAGACATCAAGAAATCAGAGAAACAACGGAGAATAAATTGGGAAAGCCAAGGTAGGGATAGCAGCAGCTAGGACACAACAGGGAGATGAAACCAGGTAAGAACCGGGAGTTGCTGTTGTGCTCAGCAATGAGGGCATCCCTAGTAGCCTCTAGTTTCAGGTTGAGTCAGTGGTGGAATACAGAGAGCAGTCAGGTAGATTTCAGTCAGAGTGCTTTTCAAGAAATGAGATGTATTTTAATATAGATAGAAGAAATCCAGCATTTACAAACGTGGTGAATATGATAATGATGACAATGATAATTATTACTATTCTCTACAGTGGGTTGAATATCTCCCAGAATTCACATCCATCCAAAGTGCAGAATGTGATCTTATTTGGAAGAGTCTTTGCAGGTCTAATTAGTGAAGGTGAGGTCATATTGGATTGGGGACAGGCCCTAAATTGCATGACTGATATAAAAATAGGAGAGGACACACAGACACATAGATAAGAAGACCATGTGAAGGCAAAGCAGAGACTGGAGGGATGAGTTTACAAGCCAAGCAACACTGAGGATTGCCACAACCACCAGAAACCAGGAGAAACGTATATAAAACTTCTCCCTCAGAGCTTCCAGAAGGAATCAACACTACCAAAATCTTGATTTTGGACCTCTGGACTCTTGAATCATGAGAATACATTTCATGCAGAGAGAAGAAAATGCCACTCAATTGGTAGCAATTTGTTATAGCAGTCCTAGGAAATGAATACACTCACTGAGCTCTTACTACCTGCCAGGTAACACTTTAAACACTTTACATGTATCTCATTTGACAGCTCCCAAGAAACTAACGAGGTAGGAAATATTATTATCTCCATTTTACAGAGAAGTAAGCCAAAACACAGAAGTGGTTAGGCCACTTTGCCAAGGATACAGAGCTAGTAACTGGAAGAGCCAGGATTCGGGAATTTAACCACCACTCTGCTGCTCTGAAGAGCAAAGTTACAGGCTGAAAGAAGGGAGTTCCCAGAGTGGTAGATGTTGAAGAAAGAGGAGAGAGTGAGGATAACTGATGACAGGGTTTTTAAAGCATCCCTTCAGGAGGGATGGGATGGGATCCAAGGTCTTGTTACTTAAAGCATCATCTTCATCAATAGCAGCAGCAGCAGTGTCACCTGGGAGCTTGTTAGATTTTCAGAACCTCAAGCCCCACCCCAGACCTACTAAAGTCAGTTTCCACTTTAACAAGAGCCACAGGCTGTTGGTATACACATTATAGCTTGAATCATAGATCACAGTTCAGTCAAGAAACAGAAGAGGGAGGAGGTCACATGAACAGGTGGGGATAAGGGGGCATTTGTTTGCACAGAGTCTAATCTCTTTAGCATACTGACAAAAGCCTTAACATTTTCACCACACCCCATCTTCCTACTGCTGGCGCAAACACACGAGTCCACCTGAATGGTTTTTAAAGCCCTCTGTAATCTGGTGCCTTTTCGTGTCGCCAATTTTATTCCTCATGGCTTTCTGCACACACTAAAACCATTCCTAGGGACCAGGGCTGTTCCTAGAATGTAGAATATCCAGGGCTAAAACCCAGAAAGTTCTGGGCAAATCAGAAAGAGGTGGTTATCTTATGGTCCATTCCCAACTCTGAGTTTTTTTGATGATTTTTCTTGCATATTCAACTCTTAGGTATACATCAAGGGCTTTATCAAATCTAACATCCTCCAGAATTCTCAGGAGCCCACGTTGATCACTCTCTTTTTTTTTTTAATTTATTATTATTATACTTTAAGTTTTAGGGTACATGTGCACAATGTGCAGGTTAGTTACATATGTATACATGTGCCATGCTGGTGCGCTGCACCCTCTTTTCCAAATTCAGAGAATTTGGCATGCACTCAATCCTGAACTGTTTTCTGGTGCTGATTTTCCATCTCTAGCTAGAGATGACATTCCTTGGGGACAACAACTCTGCTTTCTGATTGCAGAGCCTTACTGTGTTCCTTAAGAGTTGGGCAAACAAACAGCAGAAACTCAGAAAACAAATGCTACTAGATTTATTTTATACTGACACACATACATAATAGTATACCAGGTGACAGAAGACACATTGAAGCTCTTTCTGAAAACATCTGAAGCACACTGAAGATAGCTGTTGCTAGAATCAAAATTGGAACACAGATGAAATGAAAATAACATTTTGGAAATTATTAATGTGATTTTTTTTCATTTCCTTGTTCATGATATTCTCACTAATTGGCTTAAGGCCAGTGATTTGGACCAGTGGTGGTACGATTTGAATTGGAAGGGATTAGATTATTCCCAAAGAAATGCTAGAGAAGCTGGTTTAGCAGAGAGGTGATATTCACAATTTCTTATCAAGAATCAACCCCAGAGGACTCAGATCATAGAATTTCACATGTAGTATGAAAAAAAGGGCCTTGTAGTTGTGATACGTGGTCCATAATCCATGGTGCCCTATTATAAGAGGAGTCGATAATGCACAGAAGTAAAAATCCTACAGTCCACCCCTTGTAGTCTGGGATAATTTGCAGAAGGAGAGAAAGAGGAGTGATGTTGACTATGTCAGGTCCCGGCCTCCTTATGATATATCACTTTTTTTCACTCCAAGCAGATGGTGGTGGGCTTTGGAAATATCTGTGTTGCATACATCCCCATACAAATAAGGGAGAGGAGAAGCCCCACAAGCATGTGTTCAGAGGTAATATTCAAAATATTCAATAACCAGATTAACGTAGGCCAATTGGAACCTAGATAGAAAGTCAAGCAAAGTCCTAGAGTTACCCTGGGAAGGATTACCATTTTTAATGAGGTGAGGAGGGTCTTGGGAAGGGGCTGGAGTGATGGGGGATAGCCTAAGGACTTAAAGCAGTGGCTCTCAACCAACTAGCATGAAAATCTTGCAATATTTTAAAAACAGGTGTAGACATGCTGGTAAAACTGATTGAACACCAGCCTTGGCCATACCCCGTGTGAAAGGAAAATAAAAACTCAGGACGCCAATTCATTCTGCCAAGAGGAAAAATTGAACTAAACGCTGAGTCCTGCAAGAAGCTACCTTCTGTTTTGTTCCTAATTAGACAGCTACAGGTCATAGGTAAATACCTCCATAGGTAGTGACTCTATGTTCACATCATATTCTGTAAAGTGCCGATTTGCTGAGCATGAGATCAATACATAATTGACAGTTCTCCTACCTGCTCCTTTTCTCTTGCAACAAGTGGATGACCATACCCTCCCTCTTTCCCCTCCAGCTCACTTTTCCCCTTTCCCTCAAACTAACCTTTGGAGAAAGGCACAGACCACAGACAGTTTCTATGAATCCATGTTTTTCATTTCTTCTTCTTCTGGACATGTCCTTAACCTTGGTAAAATAAACTTCTAAATTGATTGACACCTGTCTCAGATACTGTTTCGTTTTACACCAGCATGTAAAATGTACTCCATGGAGACACGGCGCTATAGTGTGGGTGGAAGTGAGCTTGTGGCAATGCTACTGTCTTCCATGGCCTGTGTGGGATGTGCAGGGGTTCGGAAGTTCCTCCAAATCTCAGTGAGGGAATGGGGAAGGGTCTGGCACAAGCCTGTGATTGGGACAAGGAGGCAGCCTGTAGGGCACCTTTTCACCCGTGAGTGAAGAGGCTGCAACTGTGATGTACAGCAGAGGTGAGCCCCTGGACAGCCCAGCCACCAGTAGGACCAGTCAATCTTGCTACCTGGTCACCAGTCCAGGTAGCAGGAGAGTCCAATGAAAGCAAGGCAGGGAGGAGAAAGGAACAAGAAGATGCTTCTTATCTCCTTCACCCTGAGGTCCCACGAGCCATGCTTGTCTTTCCTCCCACACTCCATCTTGGGAATAAGTGAAGGTGGAGAGGAGAGGAGGGAGTAGGTGGTGGTTAAATCTGAAAGACTGGGTTTATAAAGGTATCATTTATACCTCATAATAATGTAGTTGACTTTGATAGACAATGTTCAAATCATTCAAGCCAACTAAATTTAATGCATTGAATTAAAATAGATATTTTTAAAAAGAATCTAGCCAGTAGGACTCTGTGAAGAAGTCTGGGTTAGTTTTAGGAAGCATAGAAACCATAATTGTGGTGTGTGTGTGTGTGTGTGTGTGTGTGTGTTTATTTCCAAAACTAGGGTGTAAGTAAATTTGCAACCCCAATACACAGAGAGTAGAGGAGGAACAAACGTTCCAGTTTTGTTTGCCTATAAATTTAAGAAACCTGAATGGTTAAGGAGGTGAATGTATCAGCATTTTGCTATTGGCAGTTTTAAATTTCAGTATATCTAGTGTGGGTTTCTCTTTGCTGGCAGGAAAAATGCCCAAACCCCTCAAAATCTGGCATCCTAATAACCATCTCCCTGACAAAATGTGAGATGAGCAATTGAAACTCGACACTTGGAAGTGAGGCCTGTTCTGCTGCTGTAGGAGTATAAGTGCTTTTGCATGATACTTTAATCATCCAAGTACATAAAAGGGACAATTTTCTAAAAGAACATAATTGCACACAACATTTGTCCAAATAAATCTGCAAGTAGATAATGAGAACTCAAGTAATGAGTACAATAAAGCACTGTAGGCAGATCTTAAAAGCAAATCACATAGACGCTAAGCTGAGCCTTACTTTGGGTAGAATTGTGCAACTGGGCTGCTTAGGAAACCACCTTCGTCTCACTAATGCAGTTAGGCTAAGAGAACTACCACTAGTATGTTGTCCGCCCCCTAAAAGGAGAAAATGTAGCTTGTTACACAAGGACCACACAAGGAACTTTAGTTTAGAACTCAGACAAAGCTGCAATTTAAACATGAGATCCTATCCATCTCTCACGTGTCCTGGCCAGGAATCAGGGTTCCCACAAAAGAATGGTGGAGGGTTGGGGGCTAGTGAGAGTGGGCAAAAGAGAGTCTATCCACAGGGCAGCTACAGGTTTAAAGATAGAATGTAAAAACCCTTGCTCTGTAAACTGCATGCACTCTAAAGAATTCTGTGTCTGCTCTAGGGTCTTGGCTAATGCAAAAGGGGGCTACTTGTGTGCCTAGTTTCTGGGTGCTTCTTTGTAAGGCAATGGCACTCAGTGTACAATGTATGTAGCATCAGCCTCACCTGAGAGCCTGTTAGAAATGCAGCTTCCTGGGTACCACGTAGCCTGAGTGAACCAGAATCTCTGGGGTTGGGGCCCAGGAATCTGTTTCTTGTCAAGCTTTCCAGTGGGTTCTGATGCTCAGTAAAGTTAGAGAACGTTATGGAAAAAGCAGATAACAGTGGCCAGAAAAAGAAGTCTTCAGGCATAAAGATGCAGATGGTGGCATTTGGAGGTGAAACTAATGATCACTGAAATAGGAAGTTGCAGGAAGATCTGGGCAGGGCACCAACGGCATTTGCTGTGGTACAACTCACCCTCCTTATACCACTTCCCTTATCATGATGTGTGAATCCAGGCACAGTGTTGCCAGACCCTTTGATTTTTCAAGGAAGACAGGAATCTGACATTTTATATGACATCTTCCAAGTTTTGATTTGTGGCAATCAATTTATAGTAAAAAGAAAAAGAGATCACAAAGACCACTTGTGTGTGTCTCTTTTCCATAAACTTATTGGACTTAGCGGGTCATGGGTTTGAATTCCGGCCAATGAATTTGTCAAAGTCAGTCACTCACTGCTCACTGGCCCCTAAGTAATTCATTTATCAAATGTTGGCCCTAGGCCAAGGAAAGGTCATGATGATTCTACACAACACTTAATTACAAGGGCAGAGGAAATGCCTTCTGACTTAGCATCTACCTTGTCCCTGGTATACTTCTGAAGGTTTTACACACATTACATTATTCATTCCTAAGCCACTCTGTGAGATACTATTTATTTTCCTCTTTCAAATCCCAAACACCACATTCTCCCTTCTTAACACAAATTAGTGACTCGTTAGATATTACTTATGCCATAGATAATAATTGAATGATTTACTTTTAGTTGATAAAAGATAATTTATCTAGTCTTTTGAGAGGACAGAAAGCATTCATTCTTTCAAACCTGAGCAATTCTCGGTCATTTTTCCTAACTTTAAAAAATTTTTAAAATTTTTTAGTTTTTTTTTTTTTTGGCGACAGGGTCTCACTTTATCACTCAGGCTGGAGTGTAGTGGTATGATCTTGGCTCACTGCAGCCTTAAACTCTAGGGCCCAAGCAGTCCTCCTGCCTCAGCCTCCAGGGTGCTAGGACTACAGACAAATGCCACCATATCCAGCTAATTTTTTAGTTTTCTGGTAGAGATGAGATGGGACTTCAATATGTTTCCCAGGTTGGTCTTGAACTACTGGGCTCAAGCAATCCTCTTGTCTCAGCCTCCCAAAGTGCTGAGATTACAGATGTGAGCCACCACGCCCTGCCAACTTTTTAATTTTTAAATAATGATAAATCCACAGGAAGTTGCAACGTGCACCCGTCTCTCCCTAGTATTCGCATCTTACACGGCTACAGTACAATATCAACACTTGTAAATTGATTAGGTCTAATTTATAGAACGTATTCAAATTTCATCAGTTACAAATGAACTCATTGTGTGTGTAGTGTATATAAGTATACTCTGAAATTGTATCATGTGTTGCCAACTAGTCAGCTAACCAAGGGAAGGCTAGTTACCCGGTGAGTTACTACGGTGGGCAACTAGAGCTTGATCCTGCTGAAGAAGTCTGGGAGACTGTGTAGAACAGTGCAAAAGTCATTGTGGTTTTTGCCACTAAAAGTAATGGCAATTACTTTTGCACCAACCTATTATAACCACCACCAAAATCAAGATACCCAACTGTACCATCAGCACAGGACTTCCTGGTGCTGTTCTTTACAGACACATTCCCACAGCCCCAAAACCCTGCCAACCACTCATCTGCTGTGCATTTCTATAATTATGTTATTTCATGAGTGTGTGTGTGTGTGTATATATATAAATATATGGAATCATATAGTGTGTATCCTTTTGAGATTGGTGTTTTCTCACTCAGTATAACTTCCCTGAGGTTCACCCAAGTTCTCGTGTGTATCAATTGTTTGTTTTTATTGTTAAGTGGTATTCCATGACATGGATATATTAATACTATTTGTTTAATCATTCGCCCTTTGAAGGACATTTAGGTAGTTTCCACTTTGGAACTATTATAAAGAAAACTGCTATAAACATTTGTGTACATGTTTCTGTGGGAAAATAAGTTTCCATTTCTCTGGATAAATGCCTCAGAGTGCAAGTGATGGTCGTATGGTAAGTCCATTTTTAATTTTGAAAAAGAACTGCCAAAGTATTTTCTTGAGTGGCTGTGCCATTTTAAGTTCCTATGAGCAGTGTATGAATAAGTGTTGTTATCACTATTTTTCATTTTAGTCATTCTTAAATGTGTGCAGTGATAGCTCATTGTAGTTTTAATGTGCATTTCTCAAAGGCCAATGATGTTGAACATCTTCAAACAGGAAGAGAACCCAATATCTCTTGTGTGGCAGACAGTATTTTCCAAAAATGCCAACAATAATTTTGCCTATCCCATGAGCTCTTCTTACAATATGACTTAATTTTTCTCACACTGAGGAGGACTCTAAACCCCTGCCCCCTGAATCTGGAAGGGCTTGTGACCATGGTGAAAGTAATGTTATTTGATTCTGAGGCTAGGTTATAAAAATGCCATGCACTTCCACCTCGTTTTCTTGGGACGCACTCTTGGGACCCAGTTGCCATGCCATGAGGAAGCTCAAGCCACATGGGGAGGCCACCTATTTTGTAGGTGATCTGGTGGCAGCTCCAGCTAGCCTGCCTGGACTGACTACCTGACATGTGAGTGAGGATGACTTCCAGATAACTCTGGCCCCAGGCATTATCTAACCACAAGTCAGAGCAGCACTGTTTTGCTGAGCTATAAGAGACAATACTAAAATGACTGTTGACTTAAGACTCTAAATGTTGAGATGCTTCGTTATAACAGCAATAGATAATTGAAAAAGTCTTCTCCACTATATAATGTTGTACACTAATAGACTCATATAATAACACACTCTAAGCCTTTTCTTGGAGTAGCCACACTCCATTTCTGCTCTCTTTTAAAAGAAAAGTTTCCTTTTCCTACAGATACTGGAGAAACCACTGGAGTCAATATGATGCACTGTTCTGAACATGAATGAGTAAACTCTGGACAAAATGGCCAAGAGGCACAAGATCCACTCAATATGCTCTTGCTTCCTCTGCCTGGAATGCTCCTGTTTCTGGCAGCCACAGGGTCCAGTCCCCCATGTCTCTGCTGTAACGCCACCACATCAGAGGGATCTTCTGACCAGCCTCCATAAGACAGTACCCATCACTTCCATCACTCCCCATTCTCCTTACCATGCCTAAATTAATCCTAGGAAACTTAGTATTTATCACCCCTTGTTTGGTGGGGATTTTGTTTGTTTATTTATCTATTTGTTTATTATCACATTCCCAGTCCCCAAATAAGCTTACTAGAGGAAGTGATTTTGCTTTGTTCATCCCTAGGATTTAGAACTGTCTGTTACACGTAGCAGACATTCAGCAAATGTTCAGTAAATGAATGAGAGAACAAACCAATAAGGACTAAAAGCATCTACAATGTGTCTATTTATGTGAGCTCTTTACAGGGTGCACAGGGATGCAGGAGGTGTTTGAGACAAAGGTTCTGCTCTTGAGAATGACAACTCAATGATTTAAAAATCTTGCACATTGAGGGGAGGGGAGATCTTTAAGTAATTTGATTAAACAATGACTTCTTAGTCTCATTTCTGATTTTGATACTGGATATGATCTTACAGCAAGGAAGCCTGTACCATAAATTTCTAGAAACAGGGAAAGAAAGTCTTTCTTGAAATTGCTCTGCTAGACCAGTTTAATGCTTTGCAAATTGCATTCTGACACCGTGGAGCCTTGCGTAGGTGCTTTCCGGAGTCAGGCCAGGGAGGATTCTTGACCTTTTCTCATAGCTGTCCACTCATATGGAAGATTAAGAAAAAATGCATACACAGTCTTCTTCTACCTGTATCCACATCCCTTTGCAATGTGACTTGGCATCTTCTCCTATCAAGAGGCAGAGTTTATATCCCTACTCCTTGAGTCTGGTCTTGAATATTTAGTAAATATAATATAAGCACAGGATTTGAAAGGGCCTACACATCAGGGCTTGCCTCCTTTGGTGCTCTTGGGAACTTTGCTACAGGTATCATGTGAGTAAGTCCAGGTGACTCGGAGATGAGTGATACTTGGCCCTGTTACCTGCACTGTCCCTGCTGAGAGCCAGCTGACTGCCAAGCAAATGAGTAAGGCTATCACCATAGGCTGATCACAACTGCAAGAGGGAGCTCAGCTGATGTCACATGATGCAGAGATGAGCTGGTACAGAGATGAGTTGTCCCAGAGGAGTCAGCACAAATACTGGCTCAGAGATAAGTCAGCAAATAAATGGTGGTTGTTTTAAGCCACTAACTGTTGAGTGGATGTAGCAAAACCTGACTGATACATGCTTCTACTGTACCGTTCTTTCTTAAGAGAAGCAATGCAATGGTTAAAGCAATGCAAAAAGCAGGACTTAAAACTCCTCATTAAACACATTCCCAAGTTTGCAAATTGTGTATACATGTACATGGAAATACGGGAAAAATCGGTAATGGGATTAGGAGTGATCTTTGTCTTATCCTCTATACTTTTCTGAGTTTACTACATTTTCTACAATAATATTTACAATCTTTTTAAAACAACAAGAAAGAAAAGCCAAAGTGCTTGGACAGTTTCTTCTGGCTGCCCTCTGATCATTCCTGGGCAATTTCTGATATGACATGAACATTTTCCATGTGGCAGGGGTTGCAGGTGTAAAAGACAGGAACATCAAGGGAATGGTTGGCTCCATTCATGCCAAGGCCATTGCCTCTGGTGGGAGTTTCAGGGGGCTCCGGAGAGCCTAATGGTATAGAGCTATGCTTTGAAACTCTTCCATTTAACTAAGCCTTCCTTGGAATGTCAACTGGTTATTTCCTTGGCTGTTATATTCCATGCTCTGTGCCCTGGTGTGGCTGATGAGTTTCAGCAGAATCCCTTGCACAGGTTGCAGTGATGTGAAATACGGAAATCTGGGCCTAGAGGTTTGCCAGTGTGATAAATATCCTCTGTTTGTCCTACTGGATCCATTTTCCTCCCTCCTCCAAGCCTTAGGAAACCAACCTATATTGACTGCATTTTGGCTCCTAGCTGATTTCAGCCAATAGGGAGCACCAGTAGGACACTAGAAGGAAGAAGAGTGAGGTTGGAGGATTTATTCTCTCAGCTCTCATCCTGCAGGTTCACCTTGGTTTGGCTTCTACCAAAGATCAGAGCACCCTCCAGGCAGCTCCGAAATCTATAGCAATCTCCATTTCCAGATTCTAGTAGCCAGGACCTTGCCTCACCACTTCAGGCATGGGGTAGTAGGAGTAATGTTCCATTATAAAGTACTGCACTAATCCTCATACACTATTCCTTATGATTTTTCTACATCTGCCCACGCTTTTGTAAACTGTCCTTTATTACACCATCCTCAAATTACCCAAGTGGAGTTGATCATCTGTTACCTGCACGGGCTCTGGAAGGTAATGTGGACACATGTATTCATGTGAATAGGTTGGATGCACCCCTAGAAGAGTCAGCTCTTCTCCTCCAACAAAAAACAGATGTGGCAGAAAAGGAAAAGAAATAGCCATAGTTTCTATTACTTCCTATACTCATTGTTAAGGAGGCAAATTATCCATCAAAGTCAGGCAATTCTGACTAACAAGGTGACACAGAGGAAGGGATGGTAATTTCTTTTTTGTAAGTGTTCTGGGAAGAGAAGTAGGTGACTTGTGACTAAGAAAAATTAGAGTTATAAAAAAGTGTTTCTAAAAGAGTTATGCCCATGACAGACAGAGTGACAAGAAAAACTACGAACGGGCCAAACATGAACATCTTACCCGGCCATCGCTTGTCAGGAGGATGGAGTCACTTTTTATGTCCCTGTGAATCACTCCTTGGTTATGAAGGTAGGAGAGAGCTCTCAGAACTGACAGGCAGACAGTAGCTATCTGTTCTTCATTCATTCTGGAAAGGAAATAACATTTAAGGAACAAGACAGGTTTAAGAACATCTTTGAAATGCTCAAGAGAGGCAGCTCCCTTGTGCTTTAGTGAAACAGTCCACGTGCTCCAGCCCATATCTGAAAAACCTGCAGACAAGGGAAGGAAGTCTTTGGGATCTGACTCCCAGAAAAAAGGCTTGGCACTAAGAATGACAGGGACCAAATATAAGTCAAAGGAAAGAGATCACTATTTGTCAGCTTTTTGGTCATTCATGCAAATGCACTTCCAGGAACTCATTTATTTATTTATTTATTTATTTATTTATTTATTTATTCATTCATTCATTCATTCATTCATTCTTTGAGATGGAGTCCCGCTCTGTCACCCAGGCTGGAGTGCAGTCTTCCTTTTTTTTTGAGATGGTGTCTTGCTCTGTCACTTAGGCTAGAGTGCAGTGGCACAATCTCGGCTCACTGCAACCACCACCTCCTGGGTCCAAGTGATTCTCTCTGCCTCAGCCTCCCACGTAGCTGGGACTACAGGCGCCCATCATTATGCCCGGCTAATTTTTGTATTTTTAATAGAGATAGGGTTTCACCATATTGGCCAGCCTGGTCTTGAACTACTCCTGACCTCAGGTGATCCACCCGCCTCAGCCTCCCAAAGTGCTGGGATTACAGACAGGAGCCACTGTGCGGGGCTCCATGAACTCTTAACAGATAATTCCATAGGCATCAACAAGCCTCCAGGGTCCCACAGAGTCAGCACACTGAATAGGTAGATGAAGGTTTCAGGCGTGGCTGTTAAATGATCATAAGAAAATCCTTTAACTTCCTTGGGTCTTATTTTCTTCATCTTAGAAATGGGGACAGCCACAGTTTTCAAGGCTGAGCTCAGGCAAAGTGGTCTTTGCATCTCTAATCCTCCCTCTGGGACCCACCCTACTTCCCATTCACCCTCTCTCTTCTTCCTCCAAGGAGCTAGAGGTTTTTGTCGCTTCAGGTCCCTTCTCTCAAAAGGAAATTGGACCTAGGAAGTTACTAATAACAGAGTGTGAATGGATAGTATTTTAATAAATGGACCATGGGAATGAGAAACGAAGCAAAGCATTGGTTATGGCCTCCCATATCTCATGACTGCACCCCTGTGGAGAAAGTTTTTCCTTCTCCACAGTTTTAGAGGGGGAGGGGGAAGTCAGCTAACTGCCCAAGGTTGCGCAGCTAAGAAATGGCCAGGTCATGATTCAAACCCCACCTCTTTTTTAGTCCAGAACGCACGCTTTCCGACTTTCCCACTTTCCCATTTTCCCACACTGCCCTCACCACTTGAATGAATGGATTTTCCTAATGAGTGAAATAGTTCAGCCACAGAGGAATCTAGGTGAGAATTATTTGGATGGCACAGGTTGTTCAGTGCCCTCAAAATGACTCATTTAGGCAGCTGCCTAACTCATCTATGTGCAAAACTTCTTCCCTATCCCATGTTAAATAATAAATGTAAAAGAGGTCCTAAAGCGAACTATCATCCAAACAGAGGAGACTGTCAGGAGAGACAGAGGGTGTAAATGACCAGAGCCCAAATTTAAGGACAAACTTGTGAAACTCCAGTAATCCCAGGTAAATCTAAGGTCAGCAGAATAAGGAAATGAATGGCTTTGAATTTTCATTTCAGTTTAGTTGATGCTAGAAAATCCTGATGGGATTCAAAAGTAAGGTATAAAGTGGTAGCCAATTAGGAGAATACCAAAGGTATAAAGTTGATGAGTATGAAGAAACACACCCTTCCCCTCAAGGAGGATTTGGCCTTTGGGAGGCCAAGGTGGGAGGATTGCCTGAGGTCAGGAGTTCGAGACCAGCCTGGCCAACATGGTGAAACCCTGTCTCTACTAAATATACAAAAAATTAGCTGGGCATGGTGGCCGGCGCTCGTAATTCCAGCTACTCAGGAGGTTGAAACACGAGAATTGCTTGAACCTGGGAGGCAGAGGTTGCAGTGAGCGGAGATAGCGCCTCTGCATTCCAGCTAGGCGACAGAGTGAGGCTCTGTTTCAAAAAAAAAAAGAAAGCAAAAGAGGATTCCACAGCACCAGTCTCATACAAAGGCAGGTGACAAGAAATGTTTTTGCCTGAAACAGAGGAAGCCTACAACTTCTGTGTTCTGGGTTTTGTGGTATGTTGGTCATTATCCTGAATGGTTTTCACACGACCATTTTCACATGTGGAAAAACACATTCCTCAGAGGTTTACAGTATATGCAGCAGGGACAAGCTCACATATACCTTCAAATTAATTCAGAACCAAGAACCACCATCTTTAATAAAATTATTTTCTCTTGAATTCCGTGAAATTTGAGTTATCTGAAAGAGGTATAAAGATTCTTTACAGGTCGACTATATCAAAAATTACTTGAATCTAACCGCTAGTCACTAACAGAAAGATCCTATTTGACTGGAACACGTGACAAATACTTCCTAATCCAGTGTCTTTGAAATTAGCATGGCCAGCTGGAGAATCGTTGGTGCATTTCTTCTTCTACTTCTTTCCTATAGGAAAAAAGCTTGGCATGGAATAAAAAACCCTTCAGTTCTAGAGTAACCTCAAATTCAAATCCTGGCTGTATCAGTTATTAAATGTGTGGTCTTAAGAAGGATACCTTTTAAAATTTTGAGATAGAGTCTTGCTCTGTTGCCCAGGCTGGAGTGTAACGGCGCAATCAGAGCTCACTGCAGCCTTGAACTTCTGGGCTCAAGTGATCCTCCTGTCTTAGCCTCTCGAGTAGCTAGGACTACAGGGACATGCCACCACACTCAGCTAATTTTTAAATTTTTTTAATAGAGACAGGGTCTCGCTAAGTTGCCCAGGCCGGTCTCGAACTCCTGTGCTCACGTGATCCTCCTGCCTTGGTCTCCCAAAGTATTGAGATTACAGGCATAAGCCACCATGCCTGGCCAATAATATTTTTCCTGTTTGAATTGTAGCTTCATCACCTGGCAGACAGGTACATCAGCATCTGCCTCATAGAAATATGTGATGGTTACATGATTAACATATGAAGAGCTTGATGGTGCTTGGCACTTTCCCTTCCCTTCTATAACCCTCTGTTTCCTGGAAATTAGAAGGATCTGACGTAACAAGATGTTAAGTTAATGCTAACACTTCAGTATGTATAAGAAATACCTGAGTATTTGGGTACAGCATGGATTCTCATTTAGTTGGTCTGGGGTAGTACCTGAGATTCTGCATTTCTAACAAGCTCCCAGGTCCTCAGACAGCACTTGGAGTTGCAAGGGGTTAGATGTTTTATCAACCGATCAATAAATCATTCAGTAAAGCAGTTATTCAATATCTATTAAAGGAAGCTCTCTGAATTCTGAGTTTAAGATTTCGAATACCAAGTATTCATGGTGTTCCTTGACACACAATTTTGTTTTGCCTCTGGAGTTACTGGGTCTTTAAAAGGGAAATCAGTTGACAATCCTGGATGAGAAAATTAGAAAAGAAAATGGATTTTAGGGACAGACTGTCTTGAGTGGTTTCCATGGATACAAAATAAGAATGGAAAGGAACCTTGACAAAGGTAGAGCTGGAGACCTGAGTGGCTGTATGAAGCTCTGGAAGGCAACAAAAAGGTTTCTCCCCTGAATATATTTTTATTTTTTGCTTTATATGTGAAAAGCAAAAAATGTATATCACATTTGCCTTATGCTTAGATCTTTCCAGTATATTTGTTTCTACCAATTAAGATGATCTTATGTGTTTTTTTGTTGGGCATGTCTTATTGCTACAACATCAAGAGTCTGCCAGCTGAATTGTTGGTGATAAATGTCTTCACTCACAAAGCTTTATTTTGAGATAGCCTACTCCAGACCGAGAACTGTAGAGCCACGTAACATCTCATTTCAGTGGAGAAAAAACAGCATGTTTTATACTTCACAGGGTTTCCCAGTACTTTCTTGTTACCTTGTTTTCCACCAATTATGTACCTGGATCCACTTTTGATTCAGGTACCATTTCAATAACATCAGCTAACACTCAATACCTCTTCCTCATGACAATCCTTCCTTAACTTTTTGGCATTTTATTTACCATCAAAACCAAAGTTAAAGTTTCCCAAATGTAACATGCTATTTTGTATGTCTATTCCACAGAACCTTGCTTCTCCAAGTATGGTCCATGAACCAGCAGCATTGCCATTGCCTGAAAGTTTGCCGTAAATGCAGAATCTTACACCCTCTCTATTGAGTCAGGATATGCATTTTGATAAGATCCACAGTGATTTATGTGGACACTGAAATTGAAGAGGCACTGTCCTAGCACATATTCTTTCCTCTGCCTTCAATGCCCTTTTCCTCCTACTTGCCTTCTTAGTGAACTCCTATTCGCTCTCAAAATCCATCTCAGATGTCACCTTATATTAAATAGAAATATTTATTGACTCTTTCTGAGAGAGACATTTAGGTATTCTTCTATGCTACATATATATATCTTCTTAATTCTGCACAGGTATTATAATGTATTTCTCATCAGTGATGTCCCTGAGGGGATATATCTGAGCCACATTCATTTGTATCTTCTGCATCTCTACCACTTACAAAACAGCCTGGCACATAAAAGGTGCTCAATAAATACTTAATGAAATGGCTGGAACTGGCACATCAGGGAGGCAAATAGCTGAAGCAATAGGCTGGTAATTAACCATCGTTACTTGCAAGCATATTTTAAAACAGAATTGCAGAATTTCTCTGTGCCACCCAGATTCATTATTTTGATACAAAACTTCAAGTGATCCTCTCCCTGTCCCTTCCTTCCCCTGGTATCCTTGGTGTCTTAGCATGCAGCAATGGTAGAGTAACTCAGGAGAATGAAATTCAGCTTTAGAAATCTATATAGGCGACAGGACATTCTATTATTTGTCACTGAAGCTTCATTCTTAGCAGGTTGCTTATTTTAAATCAATGGGTATTAATGTCCTTCTGAGGGCAGGGAGAACATTCACCAAATGAATGAACTATACATGCCTGAGAGCATAATGGGCCCTCTGGGGAATGTAGGGGAAAGGGTAGTCATATTCCCTGACTCCAAAGTGCCTGCAATTTATGAAGAGTTCATAGTCACTGCGGCTTTATCCTGGAGAAGAATAAGAAGCACCTCGAATTCTCTGGATAATAAAGAAGCCTACCTGGTGTGAGTCACAATGTCTGTCAAGGCACCACCTTCTAGAAACTCCATGACCACCCAGAGCTCATCGCCGACAAGGTAGCTGCTGTACATGTCAACCACATTGTCATGGTGGTAATCCCGCATGATCACGACCTGGGGAAACGGGAAATATACTTTTGACTTGTGAAGATGAAGTTGCTTTTTGTTCTCTTGTGGCCACAACTACAATTGTAAGTAAACTGATTGAGAGGTACTGATTGTGGGGAAGTTTATTCAGAAAATCTATTACAGACAAAAAGCATCAAGGGTAGCTAGTAGAAATAAAAGGAATCAAGGTAGCAAATTTGAGAGAAAATGGCAGGTCACTCTGACATTGGAGAGACACAGAGAGAAAATGAAAACAAGTAGAACCAAAGCAAGATTTGCATTCACAAGAGGGAGTTTGGTTGACCATCTTTGGGGATATGATCAGATATCTCTAAGGGTCTCCTTTAGAATGCACTGTTCACAGTCCTCTGCTGGTTATCCTAGCAAAGGGTCACCAACTCGTAGTAATTGAGGGAATGAGTCCCACAAGTGAATGAAGTAAACTATCTATTATTAGAACTGGAGCCACACAAGACCAACTTAACTTCTCCTTGGAAGTAGGTATGGGTTGAACTTCAGAGATATTTGGGCTGAATTGAAAGAATATATATTGAAGATAAAAATAAGTATGGCATAGAAATTAAAAAGGCTAAGGAGCCTGCTTGCTGGAGAGAGCTTCCAGAAATTGCTGCCCTGTGGCTGTTTCCACTCGAGTTTTCAGAGCTAGTGTTAAATAATAAACTACAGAATTATTTATCTACATCATATTGCTCTGTGTGTTCTGGCATTGTGGTTTGGAAAATAAATTCCAGAAACCAGGAATGGTGGACTGGAAAGATGCTGAAGCCCAGTCACCTGGAACTCTCTGTGAGATTTGGAGCGTGTGTAAGAAATAAGCACCCGTGGGAGCTGGAGATGTGTGGAGGCCACTGGGGGCTTCATATGAGCCTCCATGATAAACAGAGTTCAAAATTGCAGCTGAGTGCATTTGTACAGTGCCTGTTTATGGACCAAACACCTTCTTACTTCTCAGAGAATGGGAGTCCTTACAATAGAAAGACAAAGAGGTCAAGCAGCCGTAGATTGTTCTGGGAGTTAGAAGATGTGGATTGTACATGCTTTCCTGGAGACTAACATCTAACACTGATACCCTGACTTGATATTTTAGGACTTAGATCTCTCATCCACAAAAACTTATCTTTCCCCTCAATGCTCTCATAAAATTACTAAAAGAATATTACTCCAAAATACTTTATGTGTTTTCTAACATAATTACTCATGTTTCCCCACCTATTTTAGAGCTCTTAAGTGATAAGTTTAAAAGGTAAATGAGAAAGTGGAAGGTAAACATTAAAGTACAACAAATATACAGAGAAGGGTTAATTCCTTAACATATCAATAGCTCCTACACATCAATAAAACAAATGCTAGCACCCTAATTGAAAACTGTGTACAGAACATATGATTTAGTGAAGAAATAAAAATGGCCTATAACCACATAAAATTCAATTTAGCTACACTAGTAATAAAAGTGCTAATGAAAACAGTAAGGTTTATTCATATCTAGCAGATGAACAGAGATAACATGACAGTCTCAATGACGCTAGTGAAGGTGAAACAATACTATTGGTGAGGGTCTAGATTGGTACAAACTTTCTAGAAATTAACACTGTATATCATTTATCTAAAAAAAGTACATATCATTTGATCTGTTCATCCTACTTCTAGGAATCTAATAAATTATCAGATATGAAGCCAAAGACTTATGTGTAACAACACTCACTGCAAAATAATAAAAGTGACAAATTGGAAACAGTATAAATCAGAAACTGGTTTTAAATATGATACATGTATACGATAAAAGATTATTAAGCCATTAAAATTGTGTTTTGACATGTAGCTAATAGAATACGTTAATATATTTTATTTTACATTAATAAAAATAAGTAATGTATGCTGATATATTTTATTTAATATTAATTTTATTAGTATTAATGTTAACATTAGGTGAAATTTAGAAAGTCACAGAACCACATACATCTAAAGTTACCTCAAATTTATTAAATCAGTGACTGGTTTAATAAATTTGATACATGTATATGATAGAAGATTATAAGGCCATTAAAATGGTCATTAAATCTACTTTACATTAATAAATATAAGTAATACAGGTCAATATATTTTATGATATTAATTTTATTAGTATTCATGTTAATATTAATTGAAATTTAGAGAGTTACCAAACTACATATATAATTATCTCAAACAAAAGAAATTTGTAAACAGAAAAATATAGAAAGGAAACACTGAAATATTAATGTAGGCTATTCCTTGACTGGGATATCTGTGGGACATTTTCTTTACTTTCCATGTATTCTACAGGAAGAATTCATTATTTTTATAGTTAGGAAAAATATTTTAAAGTTCCTAAAGGGTGATAGTCCATTGGTAAACTGACCCTGGTCTACTGTTTTAAAAATTGTTTATGGAGGGTATATTATGATATCATAGTAGTGTAAAATATATACATACTCATGTAGATACAGTGTAGCATAAGAGTTAGAATCTGCTAGACAGAGATTCAGATCCTAGCTCTACAGTCAACCTGCTTGACCCTGAGCCGGATCTCTTAACCTGAGTCCAGGTTTCCTTGTAAAAATGGTGATAACATCTTTCTATCTCACAGAGTTGTTGTGAGGATCAAGCTAGATTAATGCTTAGTACAGTGGCTGATACACATGAAGTACTTTATAGATGTAACAGCCATATATGTGCATAGAAAAAAGACTAGAAGGAAATATTACAGGGGACGCTATTTTTGTCTTTATATTTTCAGTGCTTTTCTAATGTCCTAAAATGTACATGTGTATAACTTTTGAAATGGGAAATAAATGTTACAAAGGAGAGAAAGGATGACCCAAACACACTCTTTACCTCATTGAAAAGCAGTTCTCGTCTCTGTTGCTTCCGGAGGTCCATTTTCTTCACTGCAACTTGTTTCCCTGTGTGTTTCTCGGTGGCGATGCATACGATGCCGGTTGAGCCTTCCCCGATTTTGATAAAGTTGGCCAAGTATTCCCTGGGGTCTCCTGGGCTGACCACCAGCTGCAGGGCCGCCCGAAACTGTTCATGGGACACCCTGGAGGGCTGCTGGTCGGAGGAGGAGCCCCAGCTGGGCGGCGGGTAGGTGCTGGATGAGAGGCTGAGGGAGCTCAGGTAGGAAGCCGTGGAGATGTACTGCGAACTGCTCTGCAGGGAGGGGTGATGGTACAAGGTGGCTTTGTGGTACCCAGACGGGTACTGGTGACTGCTTGAGGAATAGCCCGATTTGCTTTGACTTTGAGGTAGTTTGGCAGGGCCCCTGGGGTAGGTGTCAGACCCTGACAGTGGAGGGCTGAGGACCATCTGTGCTCGATCGTAATCCACCTGGGAAGACAGACATGGATAGAGAATATTCACATGCTGGATCTGAATGCCACAGCCGAGTGGTGAGTGAGCTGACTGACAGCTGGCAGAATGAGGATCACCAGTGGGAGATGAGAGGATCTGGCTGGGGCACCAACAGGACCGGCCACACCTAGGGAAGGGCCTTCTGTGGTGCACGTGCACCACAGCAGGAGGTTACTTCACGTGTGTCATATCTAAGGTGTACTTGCTTGTTAAGCCCTATTTTCTTGTTCAGTAATGAAAAACCCCATCCCTCATTAAAGGACATTAGTTTTCAGCTAGCATTTTTGGGAGACATTTCAGGGGTAGGAGGCCTTTTCCCATGCTTCTGAATTCACATACTAGAGGGTGGTATGGACATATATGTATAACACAGGTATAACACAGCAGATGTAGGTACAGGGGAAAATACGTCTCCCTGTGCTAAGTGGTGTGAACCACAGGGTGAACATGTGCAATGTTCTCACCAAATAAGTACAAATATAATTGAGAGTGATCAGACTTTGCAGGGGTATGTGTGAAATGAAAATGATGCTAGACCCGAAAGAGATCCCAGCAAAGAACATCCACTCTGACTTGGAAGAGTGGGATGAGGGGATTTATTGGAGGAGAATGGGGAAGCCAGTGAGGGGATTACTGGTATATGATACAATATGTAGGTCCAGCAGTCACTTCCTGGAAAGAATCAGGAAGGAGCTCTGGCCACTCCTGGAATTGCTGAGGCCAGGATGGTAAAGATACCACATCTTGTCATGTGGTATGCTCCTAGCCCAGGGCAGAAAGTGCTAATCCATCAATGCACTCTGTTTTGGAAGATCTCGATGACAACACAGTGCTGGATACATAGAAGGTACTCAGAAAAGATCTGTTGATTGGACTTGAGGCTCTTTCTTAATGCAGTGCCCCAGAAAGTCTCTATCACTCTACTGGGTGTAAATGGAATGGCATTAACTTATCCCACTCCCCTACCATCCACCCCAAGGACCTAGATCTATTCTAATATAGTAGCTACAAGCTACACGTGCCTATTTAAAATAAACAAAAATAGATTAAAAATTAAAAATTCAGTTTCTCAATCACACTAGTCACATTTTAAGAACTCAGTAGTTACCACATCACACAGTACACATATAAAACATTTTCCTCATTGCAGAAAGGGCTATTGGATGGCACTATTCTAGATGAATTGATTGTTCCCATGCAGCACATTCATTCATTTATTTCAAAAATTAATATTTGAGCAACTATGATGTGCTATGCACTGTTTTAGGTGTGAGGGGGAGGGTCCACCAACAGTCAAAATGAATGATATCTCTGCCCTCCTGGGGTTTATGCTCCAGAGAAGGAAATAGATAATAATAAAGAAAACCAGTAAATATACAGTGTGTGTTTCAGTAGTAATGAATAATATTAAGAAAAATAAAGCAGAGTGAGGGGGTTGAAAGTAATGAGATGCCATCTTGGATAGGGTAGTCACAGAAGGACTCTCTGAGGGGGTTCCGTTGGAGCAGAAGCCTGGCTGAGTGAGGGAAAAAGCAAGATCCCTTTCCTAGGAGGGGTGGTTTGGGCAGTGGGAGTGGCACATGCAGGATTCTGAGGCAGATCCAGGCTTAGTTTGTGAGGAAGAGCAGACGCTCAGCTATAGTGGAGTGTGTCCACTAAGGAAGATGGGCCGAGAAGCTGCCGGGGGACAGATCATGAAGACCTTGGCAAAGACGTTGGCTTTTGCTCCGAGTGAGGTGGGAAGCACTGGGGGTTGCTAAGCAGACAGGAATGACACAGTCTGACTCTCTGGCTGCTGGAGGAGAGACTTTGGTGGCAAGAGTGGAAACAGGGATGCCAGCAGCTTATCACAGTTAATGTGGGCTGAGATTAGGGTGGTTATTGTAGATGGGGTGAGAAATGGTGAAATCTAGGGCAGGATTTGAAGATGGAGCTGACAGGATTTGCTGATGGATTGGGTGAGATCTTGAAAGACAGGAATCAAAGATGGCTATCAGGATTTTGGCCTAAGCAACAGGCCATTTAATGAGATGAGGAATCCAGGGGCAGGAACAGGGCTTGTGGGGTGTGATAATCAGCTTCCAAATTGCTCTCAATGACCTGTGCCTCCTGACATTCATATTCCTATGTAGTCCCCTTCTACACTGTATTGGGATCAATCTGTGTGATCAAAGAAAAAGGCAGAGATGATGGCAAGTTCCTTTGCTTTCTTACATCATTTATTTTGGCTTTCACCAGCTGCCATGTCATGAGGACACTCAAGAATCCTTTGGAAGGGTTGGGTGCAGTGGCTCATGCCTGTAATGCCAGAGCTTTGGGAGGCTAAAGCTGAAGGATCACTTGAGCCCAGGAGCTCAAGGCTGCAGTGAGCTATGATTGCACCACTGCACTCCAGCCTGGATGACAGAGTGAAACCTTGTCTCAGAAATAATAAAAATAATAATAATAATAAAATAGAGAGGTCCATGCAGCAAGAAACTGAGGACTCCTGCTAAGAGCTAGCTAGAAATTGAGGCCTTCTGGCAAACAGCCATGTGAGCCATTCTGGAGGTGGATCCTCCAGGTCCAGTTGATCCTTCAGATGACTGTGTTCCTGTTTGAAACCTTGACTGCAACCTCATGAGAGATTCCAAGACAGAACCAATCAATCAGCTAAGCCCTCTCAATTTGTGACCTACAGAAACTGTGAAATAGTAAATGTTTGTTATTTAAAGTTTAGGGGAAATTAGTTGAACAGCACTATTTTTTGCTTCATGAGGCAGTTTGTTTTAAGCCATGAAGTTTTGGGATAATTTGTTATGCAGCAATATTGATAGCTAATACATGGTGGAAAATTAAGAGTTCTTTTAGCCATGTAAAGTTTGGGAGAGTGATTAGACATCCATGTGGAGGTGTCACTTAGGAGACTTAGGCATGCCCCAAGTCCAGGGAAGAGTTAAAGCTAAAGACATGAATCTGAGAGTCATCGGTGCTTAGTTCATATTAAAAGCCATGATACTGAATGTGTAAGAGATGGTCTGAGGACCCCAACGTCTAGATACCAGAAAGAGCAGAGGGATCTTGCAAAAGGGAGCAGAGAAGGAGTGACAAGTGCTGTAGAAAGGAAACTAAGGAAGCAAGGTGTCCTGGAGCCAAGGGAGGAAAGTATTTCAAGAAGGAAGGGCTAATGAATCCTGTCAAATGCCACTGAGAAGTGGGATGGGGCATGTTGCTCATTGGATCTGGTGACATGGTAGAGGCAAGCAGGTGTTTCAAGCTCCTGCCCCACCACGATGCATAAGAAGGTAGTCATTCTATCACATCATGGAGCAATAACTGCACACAGTGGGCTCTTTAAAATTGCTACCATAGCACCATTCTCAGTCCCCCAACACTGCCCATTGGTTCTACAATGACAGTGCCTGGCCTGCTGAACATTCAGCAATGCAGCCCTTCCAGCTTCAAAAACACTACACTTTACTAGGTGAATTCACCACTCAGACAGCCTTGGCATCAACCAGCAGGAACCAGGGTAGCTGCTAAGCTGCCCTCCTGCCCTGGTTGCAGAGAGAACACATGCTTTTGACGGGCATAGGAATGAATTCTGACTGATAATTTTAGTCAAGTCAACCTCTCTGAGTCTTAGTTTCCTTCTGACTCTGATAATTTTAGTCAAATCAGCCTCTGTGAGTCTGTTTCCTTATCCGTAAAATGGAACAATAATAATACTTACTTCCTTTGGTCACTGAACTCTAAAGGATCAAATACATATCAAAGTATTCAAACAATGACTGGCCAGTAAGTTCTACTTGGTGTTATTATTATATAAAATGCTTAGCACAGTAATGAGAATGCAAAATAAAATAAATAGTAACTGCAATATTATCAAACTAGCTAGCATTTATTGAAGACATACAATGCCCCTGTGGTATATATATTCCTATATATTAATACTCAAAGCAATAAGACAAGATGTAGTTAACATTAATATATTGAACAATGTATAGTTAAAATATTCAAAACCAAGCTGATTCTTTTCAAAGCCTCTGTATTTGTGCTACACAAGGAAAACGTGTGTGTGTGAGTGTGTGTGTATGATGGAATGGGGAGAGAGAAGTGTCAGTGTAAGTTAAACTACGATGGAATGGGGAGAGAGAAGTGTCAGTGTAAGTTAAACAACTGGATTCTTCCTTCAATAAGCTCCAGATTAGTCAAGTCTAGGCTAGTCAGCAAGGCCAGGGTGTGAAGGGAAATAGTGTTTTGGCTTTTATTTCTGAAAGTGTGTCCTGGGAGCCATCACTTGCCATTATCACCCTGTGTCTTCCTTGGAGGACTGGCTCCTGTACTTTCAACGAAATTGAATTCATTCCCCACAAGCATGTATAACTGATCTCTGAAGATATATTAAAAATGGGAAAGCTGCATCCTGCAGGAATCACAAACACCGCTTTGCACTAATTTAGGCCACTTTTCTTCCTTATCACCTGTCAGCAGCATTATCAGAATCCACCCTTAACAGCTGGCATATGACATAAAGAAGAAGCCTGCCTGCACCAAGGGGACAATTTCCAGGCAAAGATGGAATGCAGAGCTCTTTGCTGAAAGCTAACCATCTTCAAAATAGGCCATGAGACAAAAAGGTGCTGTTGTCTTTCACGGCTGCTGGTAAGAGGTACAGACTCTTAAGCAATGGTTGAGGAACAACTAGTATCACAAGAGACAATGTTTTGAATGAAACTCAAGGCATACTCATCAGAGAATGAACTGTTCACTTCAAGTGAGGGGACATGTAGTCTTCCCTCAGAGGACAAATAGCTGACTCTGTGAAGGAGAAATGCATGGGTGACCCCATTTGGGGCCACCAAGGTGCTGAACCATTGCCTTCTGTTGGATCTTAACCCACATGCGGGGTTCCATGATGGTGCGTATCACCAGCCCACACACTTTCAACAGGTCTTGTTCTTTTTATTCTGGGAATCAAGCAGGGGGCAACTGAATCCCATTTTGTGGTTGATAAAATAGAGGCACAAGGAGACGAAACTGCCCCCAAGCAATGCAGGGCAAATAGCTCCATACTTCCAAGGGGACGACATAACCTAGTTCTTCTGCCGGGGTCAGTCCTTCACTCCCAGTGGGAGGGCGCCCAGCACACTGGCCCACAGGCCGGCTCCCTTGCCTGCCTTGGCATTTCCAACATTCATTGATTTATAAGAATAATGATGTTTGATACTTATTGAGTGCTTTCTACATGCCAGGGACTGTTCTAAGCACACTGTGTATATTCTTGCACGTAAACCTCAAGCTGGACAATTAAATAAGCTCTGTAATTCCTCCATTTTATAGATAAGAAGACTGAGGCACAGTGGGTTTAAGTAGGTCATGCAAAGATCCCAAAGCTAAAAGAAGGGAGAAATGGGATTCAAATCCAGACAGAGTCGCTTCAGTACTTGGGTCCTTGAAAAATTCACAGAGATAGGCATGAATGATGGGGGGGGGGGATGTGGTCTTAACAGGGGCGGGCAGAGTGGGCAATGATGATAACCACAGAGATAAAGCCTGGTCAGGGTGTTTCACTGGGGGCCCAGATGTTTGGGCAGCCTGGGGCAAAATGCAAGAATTGGACCAGAACATGATGGATGATAATGTCTAGGAGAGGGGGTGAAAGACAAATTAAGGGTTTTTTTTTTTTTTTTGGCTTGTTTGTTTTGAGCAGTTTTGGCTTAGAGAAATGAGCTAAAAAAAAGAGTAGTCATCACAGCAAAACGAGTTGATTATCTATGTACATCATTCATCATTTTCCTTTTTGTTTTGGTCAAAGCAGAACTCTGCATTGTTACAACATCACTCAGGCTTTCTTCTGTAAGTTCTTTCAAGGAAGAAAGTGCAAACTTTCTTCTGCGATGAGACCTCCTCACATAGCTCTTGGACTTTCATAGTCATGTAAGTGTTCCATTCTAAGTTGTCTTTCTCATGATAGCCTATATTTGGAAGGCAGAAAACATAAATGATGAATTTGTCCATTCCTACTGTTTTACACACACATGTTCATGCATGTGAGAAAGATGTGCAAAGCAGTCCAGCTTAAACTGTGCAATCTTTTCTATGACCTGATTTACAAATACATTCTAGAAAAAAAATGAGTAGGCTTGAAGTTCATAAAAGCAGACCTATCTTTGGTATTGTGAAAGGGATTTGGGATCTGATTATTTAGTGAAAACACAATGCAGTGGAATGGGACTAGTGACAGGAATGATATTTAATAAGCAAATCCAGCATATCTCTCATCACCCATGATCCAAACCATTTCCAAAAGATTTATGTACATAGTTTACCCTTGCAGACCTTACAGCAAGGGCACGGAGTGCAGAGCAAGGGTGGGAAACTGCAATGTAAGAGAAAAAACAACAAAGGCATTCTTCCCATCCCTCCAAAGAGAACAGTGCTGTGATTTTGTGAACGAGTAACTCCTTACAAAGGAGACCATGGTCTGCAAAGTTTTCAGGGGGATTTCCATATGGCATGATGTCATGAGAGAAGACCAGGTCAATTGTCTTGCAAATTATCACCCAGGCTGCTAAACTGCTTAGCTGCAGGGTTACCAGGTCATTAATTGTCATTGAAAATTGGATACATTTTAAGAAGGAATTCTCTCTACAGGAATCTTTAGAAATATTGACAAAATGAACAAGCAGTCATGATTGTGATTTCCTCTTTTTTTTTTTTGAAATGGCTAATAACATACACTTGTTTTTTAGCTTCCTGACACTTTTTTGTATACCATATAAATTAATTCTTTAAAAAATGTGCTTTGTCATGTCTCTATTCAAACATGATCAAAAAAGAAAAAGAGCAAAAAAGAATATATTATATAAGGGAATAAATAATCCCCAGTTAACAACTCAGCCGGACTACCTTTCTACAATGAGCTCAACATCTCTAAAGATAGGGTCAGACACAGGCTTGTGATGTATCAAAATTATAAATAATTATAGCTATGAATTCACTTAATCAATCAATTTCACCAGAGCTACGCTGGGGTGGACGGGGCATAAAACTCCACACAGCTATCAATTGCTCCGATTACAGCTGGTTGTCAGCCAGAATTCCCCTGATCCATGTTAGTTAAATGCACATTAATCTGAATTTGGCAGTGTAATCAAGGACCTAACTGAACTGTGAAATTGAATTCTGCAGTAGAACATAATTTGACCATTTTATGCCAAGTCTTGGGGGGAAGAAAGCTTGGTTAGGGGAGGGTGAGAGAAAGAAGAGAAGGAAAAAACAGTACTGCAGGAGCATCTATTTGGCACTGTGGCCTTCTGTTCTGAGGGCAGGGGGGCCGTGGCTGGAGCGTGCTCGACTGGGGTGTGTGGACACAGCCACAGTGTGGGTCTGTACCCACAGAATGAGGACTCGGAATGTTCCGTGAAGGATGGCGAGTTACAGGGAGTGGGCGGCAGCTGGTTCCAGTGCCTGAATGTGATGCTCCAATACACCTTTTCAGAGCACAATAAAACAAAGACTGCTCATCTCGAAAATGAAAACGCCAGGCTGGGTGCTGCTTACTCTCCATAAATCAAATGCAAGATAAAAGTGAATCACAGTACCTCTATTATCTGAGCATGGAAAGGACATCTTAAATTGTCCTCACTTGACTCAAAGGAAAATTTAACAGGACCAGGCTTGGCTTTGGGAAGGGAAAACGACTGCTTGTAAGAATTCTGGAGAGAATCATTAACTTGCATTCTCTGTAGGGACAGGATAGAGACTGGCAATTAGGGGAATGGGACTCATTGAACCCTATAACTCGTCTGTCTCTCTGGTTGTGCCCTGCAAATGCACACTGAGAGTTGGACAAGTGGCTCATGACCCTACAAACTAGCAAAGCCTAGCTATATGAAGCAATGAATAAATCTGAGATGTGCAGGGTCAGGCATACGGGTATTCCAGGCTCTTCCTCCACCTCTGAATTGGCATATCCAATTAACCCCCCACAGTTGCTGCTTCAAACTCAAAGAATGTGTCTTCTATTCAAGAGCAGTGAGACAGAGCAGATTGGTCTGACCTGCGATCCGTCATCGCCTGCAGTGATGTGGAGGGACTCTTCGTCTTTGGGGACTGGTTTGCAGCCTCAGAATATTGTTCAAATATGTCAGGGCCTCTGAGAGAGCTAGGAACGGACAATGCCAGGTTAAATTCATTTTGTTTTTAATTTGGTAATGGGAAAACCCATTCATAATGACCAAAATACAATTTATTTTGAATCACAAGAGCATTCATGGGAAGAAGTGTCCATTCATATGCAAAGGACACCTAAAGTCTCCATCAGAAGGGACAGACGTTAGAGATAGTGCACTCAGTCAGTCCTTGGATGTTTTATGAGCCTTAATGAAGACCCTGTAGGTAAAGAAAACAAATCTAAATATATCCATTGTTATATTAAGTGATCAAGTGCTTCTCTCTTTCCCCCTCAGATTTTTAGTGCAGCCCATCAGTTTTCACTAGCACTGTCATTCCATAACCCATTAAACCCTGAATGGATCTCTGAACCGAGTTCTGCAGGGATCCTCAGTAGAAAAGAAGTTGCTGTTCTGTTGTTGGAGCCATGGTTGAATCTGGGCATGACAAGTACCACAAAGAACAGTGAATCAGTAAATTATTGATGCGGGAAGACTGGGCCCACTGGTTCAAGTGCTTTTTCCTTCCAGGGAAAGCAAAGTGATAGCTAAGCAGTGAAAACACATTGAACTGTTGACCCCAGAAGGAAGTGCCGGGAAATCACACCATCCTTTTCTTCCCATCCTTTTTGTTTTGTTTTGTTTTTTTAGACAGGGTCTCACTCTGTTGCCTAGGCTGGAGTGTAGTAGTGTAATTATAACTCACTGCAACCTTGAACTCCTGGGCTCAAAGGATTGTCTTGGCCTCCCCAGTAGCTAGGGCTACAGTTGTGTGCCACCATGCCCAGTTCAAAGTAGGTACTGAAACACTTTAGAGATGATGAAACTGATGCACAGAGAAGATCATACAGCTACTAAGCGCTTGAATCCAGGGAATCTGATTATAGAACTTGCATTTTTCTGTAATGGGTGAGAAAATCTGGATTATCTTTTAAAAAATCAAACAAGACTACCACTTAAGGTCAAATAAATGCATATGAGCACCTTAGGGATTTCTGCACCTAACACTTCCTTTACAGCCCATAGTTCCAGCTTTTACCCACGGTTTACACTCTGGGTGACATTAAGGAACTTCTCAAGGATTCCATCCTACATGATGGAAGAACAGGAAGAATAAACAGCATTCCATGGGCACAGCAAATCCACCTGTCAGTCACCACCCATTCTTCACCAGCAAGGTGAGGCTACCTCTAGGATTTGTGTCTGGGCCTGGAGACTTCATGTCCACCTTTCTGCCCCTGGATTTTCTTCTACGGAAATGAGAATATTCTGGAACACATAGACTTTGGAGTCAGTGGGACCTAGTTTGGAATCCTGACTCAGTTATTTGCCTTTATAAACTTGGGGAAGTCCATAAAGATTTGGAGTCTCAGCTTCCTCAACTGTAGAGCAGAGGTGATCCTGAATTCTTCTGGAATTGCAAAGATTAAGTTGAGTCATGTTTGCAAAATGCTTAGCACAGTGCTTGGAACACAGTAACCCTCACCTCACTGCCACCATTCATCTACATGCTCCACATGTAGACTGATGTGTAGATTACTCATATTAGTAATTAAGCTGCTGTAATTTATTAACTTACTTAACCCTCATACTATATAATGAGACACGGGCTGTCTTTATCCTTATTTTGTACATAAAGAAGTGGAGGCACAGTTAAGCAACTTGTTCACCCAGTTAATAAGTGGCAATGTCAAGACTCAAACCCAGGCAGTTTATCTCCAAAATCTATATCTTTAACTGCCAAAACGTGCTTGATAAATGATAGCTATTGAACAGTTGTCCTTAACTGGGCCAAGTTTGCCCTCTTCTGCCTGCAGGACATTTGGCAGTGTCTGGGTATATTTTGGTTGTTAGGAGTGAGGGAGGGATGCTATGGACGTCTAGAGGGGAACGGCCATGGATGCTGCTAAACACCCTATGATGCACAGGACAGCCTCCCACAATGAAGAATTACTAGGTCCAAAATGTTCATAGTGTCAAGGTGGTGGACCCTGCTACAGAGTGAAAGGGGATGATGCAACCTAGTTGTGAAATTAATTGCTAATTAACTGCTAATGCAACTTCATTGCTTCAGGTATTAAAAGGAGCTTATAATCAGGCAGGTTGCAGGCTTTGCACCCACAGAAGCTGCCCCTGTGCTACTGGAAATGCATGCAATGTCTGGTAAAAGGCTTAAGCCCAAAGAGTTGGATCCCAGCTCTGCTGTGAGCATACTAAGCCTCTTAAAACCCATTTCCTCATCTGTACAAAGGGGTCAAGAATTCTTGCCTTACAGATCTGTGAGGCTCAACAAAACATGGCATGTATCTGGTACACAGCAAATGCTTAATGAACTGGTGGGATTGTTATGCTGGGGGCTTCTCAGTAGGGAACGGATGTGCTGGGCCAATACAAAGACACAAGTAGGTGGCTGCCTGGTCTCTGGAGAGCACAGGAATCAGCAAAGTCAAATACATGGCGGCAATTTCTCCAGCTAGCTTCCTTCCGTGGAAGGCAGATTTGTCTGCAGGCGAGGGTGGAAAGCATTCTCTCTCCACATCTGGCAGTTTTCATAATTTTGTGGTGGGTATGGTGCTATATGGTTTTTGTTTGGCTTTGCTTCCCACCCTCCCAACCCCAGGGTTTCATCTGCTTAGTTCCAGCAAAATACACTTAAATGTAGGGAGAGGAGGCCAACATCAACAAACTCATAACATTCTTGATTCCTGTCCTGCTAGCAGGGAAATTAAGTAGGTAGATAACATTGAAGGATTTTTTTTTTCTGTGGGTTAACATTAATCTTTTTTTTTCTTTAGGACAAAATGTAAAACTGTGTCAAACACACACACGTGTGTACACACACACATGTGTACACACACATGACCCTCCTCATTTCTGCTTCATCTGGAGACCTACACAAGTTTTGTGCTTCCTTTTATTACTGGAGATGAAAACATGACCCAGCCTCCTTTAGGAGTCTCTGCAAGCAAGGCCGACTCATCTGAGTCGTGACCGCTATTTCTTCCCTCAGCTGGAAATCCAAATGTGATTGGTACACTCTAAGAGTACCGTTCTAAAGACACAGGCACCTCCGTCTTTTCAGAGAAATGTTGTATTTTTAATCAAGTGAACGTTTTAATTACTAACCTGCCTCCCACCTCTTATCCTCCCACAAAACAAAAACCTGCTCATGAATCTCTCACGAGTTTCCTGTGAAACATGGAGCAGCAGCTTGCTTCTTTGTATTTCTGATCGTAAGGGCTGAACACCCTTGGTAGAAGTTCCCATGAGTGATTATGCTGTTTTTGTTGTTGTTGTTGGTGGTGGTGAGCCACAATAGTTTGTGCATTGTTTCTGGGCTGGCAGAGCCAGATTTCAGGGCAGGTCTGCTTTGTCTTATATTTGGAAGTCTGCAGAATAGAGGGAGCCTGTAGGGAATTAAAGTGAATCACCCCTCCCACCCTCGTTCTTCTGTCACTTAGACGAAAGTTCTGGTGGCCACTGGGACTTCTCATGGATTTTCTTGGCAAATGCAGTTGAGTCCCCGAGATAACATACGCCCAAATAATAGGAAAATATTGAGCAGGGAGAAACACCAGACTTGAGTTCTTGTCCTTGTTTTGCAACCAACTAATTATGAAACTGTAAGTGTGTCATGTGGCTCTCTGGGCCTCAGTTTCCCCTTCTAGGAAATGAGTGTGCAGGGATTGCTGGTGGTGACATTAAATCCCAAAAGCCCATGCTATGTGAAAATGTGGACTCAGGGATACCAGTTCATCCTTTTTAAAAAAATAAAAATAAAAAAGAGAGAAGACTGAAACTCCAGAATTAAGAGTTCTAAAACTCTTGACCTCTAAAACTATTTGGACTATAGACATGTGTAGCCCACCCAATATTCATTTCCAACATCCAGGAAGAGCCAAATAAGGCTCCAGGACCAAAATGCAGCATCATCTGGGCAATGTTTTCTCTGTAACTATGACCCCAAACAACTCCCTAACACAAATATGCAAATAAGCCACACGCACACAAAATCTTAGATAAAAAAATAACCACTGATATTCAAAGCCTCAGGATGTAACTCAATTCAGCTATAGAACATGTTAACTTATTTATTTCATATCACTCACAGAAATGCACAAGTGATATGCACAAGAAATGGAATAAACTATCTCATGTATCATGAGACATGCGTATGAGTTCAAGTAGATTTTGCTTGTGGTTAATTAGACCTCTTTCCAACAGTCACCCTGGCAAGCACACAGGAAGAGAAAGCAGTCATGATATCCTGAGTGTGGGTGTTCAAGTACATTAATACCACGAGATAAAAAAAAAACACTGTCACTATGTGAATTTTAACTGGAGGAACATATCTCAGGCCTCTATTTATCAAGATTTGTTTTTAATTTTATATCCTGGGAACTAAGGTGACAGCTTTTTTGTTTCTTCTAAAGAATGGCTGAAGTAACTCCAACAATACACTTAAATGGCTTCTCTTCAACATCTTGGATGAGGTTAATGAGAAATAAGAAGCAAAGGAAAAATATCGACTATCTATAATCAATAAATCAGGTGAATGCAGGCAGGCTTGGGTTCCAGAGTTTTCTGTGCTGCTCACCAAACTGTCAAGAGTTTGGTATAAATAAAGTACATGACTGCCCTGTGAGAAGTCATGTCCCTCTCACCTGCTTCAAGACCTCTATGTAATCCACATTCCACACCCTACGGTCCATGTTCTTTTGCTGGACAGGTAAGGTAGCAAAAACATTTCTAAATGACAGGGAAAAATAAATCACTTGCACATTCTCAAAGGTATTTTCCAAGACTTTAGACCTTCGGACCCATAGACCTTTGCCTGTGCTTTTAGTTTCAGTAACTTCTCCGGCAGTGATTCCCAAACTTTAGGATATCATAGACCAGTCAAATTTCAAAGCAAACTTGGAGCTGCTAACATTTAAACAAAATTTAAAAGAGGAATTACTACAAAACAAAGTGAAAAGGGGACAAAAATGGTCCAGCGGTCCAGCAACCATCTGTCACCCCCAAATTTCATATAAAAACCAATATTTCAAATCAAATATAGTAGAAAGTACATACTCTTAATATGAAGGGCCATCCCCTGAGTTGAACAAAATTGGCTTTATTTAAAAATTACCATGTTATACTGAGTTTCTTTCCTTTTTAGCAGGTCTATGCAAACTTTGCCAGGATGTAGGAACCACTGGATGGCTCGATCTAATGCTCTATGATTGTATATGACTGATCCACTCCTTAACAGGGAACTTAGTCAAATACAGTCACATCATATTTATCACTCATATATCAGAATTCTATCTTTCAAATCAATAAGTTTATTCGCCTTTTAATGAGAAACCACGTAGGAGGGCCCAAAAGATAGATTTTTATTTTAATGAATATATATGCCTTATCCTAAACCTCTGCCCTGGGGCCTCACAAGTGGAGATAGGGTGGGTTTTGATATTGATTTTCCCTTAAAAGGCAAACAAGTACTTTACAATCCAATCGTATAAAAAGGTCGTGCCAGCACCACCCCTGTGGAGGTTTTTGCACACGTGAGGGAAAGGAGGTAGCAAACGTTACCTTTGGAATGCACATTGTGGGCTCGGACAAGCGAGGGTAGGTGTAGGAGTTGTAGGAGTGTCCTTGGGGATGGGTTTTAAATGCACTTGCTCCAAATGGCATCATCGGTTCCTGGAGTCCCGAGCCTGACCTGGACCTCTGCCGCATGGTGGGCTGAGGGCTTGTCTGATTCAGGTACGAAGACTTTGGCCTCCTGTCATAGTCATCCAGGCTGGGTCCCCATTCACTTTCACTGTACGCCAGGCTCTCCTTGGAGCACCCGCTGGTCCCTGCAGTTCTAGAAGGTGTGAATTGGAATGAATAATCCAGAGGGGAGCTACTCGAGGCTCTCTGATACTCCCACTTGAGGTCACTGTATTCACTTGGTTTGCTCAGTGAGTCCAAATGTGAGTGATAATCGGCAGAAAATCTGGCAAAATCGGATTTCAAAGGCTTCACCTCAGAATAGTAGGCCTCCCCGTGCTTCATTTTCATTACGTGCCCATTTTGCTTGGCTGCGTGGCTGCCTCTATAATACGGATCCAGATCATCTCCATAGAGACTCTTCTCCCTGTACTTTTCGGTCGTGTAGTCAGCAGTAGTATCGGATTCGCTGGAATACTGGGAGAAGGTGATGAAGCCATTTTCTTCCGCGTGGCCTGGACCGTGGCTGGAGGCTCCCTGATCTGGGGTGGGTGGGCTTTCTTTCCTTAGGGAGTTGGAGCGAGTCACCGAGATGTTGTCAAAATCCTCTAGCAGGCCGTTGATGGAGGTTTCCTTGCAGGGTTTGTTTCCTCTAACGATTGTCTGGGAATAATAGAGGGAATATTGTTTAAAGAAAATATTTCATGGATTTAAATTGATGGTGGCATCCCACCCCCACTCCATCCAAATTAAACTACAGAAGAAAAAAGACCCCGGGAACACTTAACACAAAATGATAAAGAAAATGTGTTGATTGACTTCAGTGGTGAAATAAATCAAATAGTAAACAATCTCAAATTGCATTTTTCTTCTTACCTATCTCAACAGAGACATCAAATAACCATCAAAAAGCCATGTAGGAGACTACATAGAATATAACTGTTTTATTTACCAGTTTACAGGCAAATCCCTTCCCCCTACTTCTTCTACCTAAATAATAAGCCCTAACCACCTAATGATGAGCTGATAATTATAATTTAACACTCTATAACTGTTTGGTAATAAAAAATAATATTTATTACTGTTTTACATTCATTATTCAGATGATTTTCAAAACCAGAAGGCATTATCACCCAACTATTAACATAACTAGAAATGGGTGTACATTTTTTGCCCTTATATGGAAGACATAATAACTGAGGTTATGAAATTTTATGGATGAGGCAGGCACTTCCTGAAACTGTAATTAGGAAACAGACTGAAGATTATTTGTGTGATTTATGATCAAATGTGATATTCTTATTAAGTATATATACTTATACTATACTGCTTGTTTGTTATGGCCACACTTCTGTGTAACATCACCGCTGAATTTTGGATGGCTTAGTAATGATGGTTGCACCTGGATCTTAGTGACAAATTGTTCCCTTTAATGAACCTAAATAACACAAGAATACCAGGAACTGAAAGACATCGCAAACCACTTACAAAGCCCGTCAGCCGTGCCTTGACAATGACAGGATTTGCAGGCAAATATGATGGGGGTGGATAAAAGAACAAAGAACAAAGTGTTGTGACTTCAGACTTCCAGGATTTTAGGAGAAAAATACTTTTGAGCAAGTAGCAAGGAGTTCAAAACTATCTTGGATGGTACAATAGAAGATTTCAAACTGGAGGAAGAAGTCAAAGTTGTCCTGGAGCTGATGTTTTATAGATCTATCCATGGTGAAACAAAGGGTTTATTTTTTTTCTTTCCAAGAGTCCTGGACTAATAGTTTTGTACTATACCCTTTTCTTTCAAATAAAATTTTTATTCTAGAATAGTTTTAGATTAACAGAGAAGTTGCAAAGAGAATACAGAGTTCTCATAGACTTCTCATCCAGTTTCCCCTTGAGTTAATATCTTGCATTGCTATTAAGGAAACTCCATGTTCCTATAGATTTCATTAATTTTCTCCTAGGGTTCTAGAGTCCCATCCAGGATAGTTCATTACATTTATTTGTTATATCTTCCGAGTTTCCTCTGATCTGTGACAGTTTCTCAGATTTTCCTTATTTTTTGATGACCTTGACAGTTTTGAGGAGTACTGGTGAGGTATTTTGGAGAATGTTCCTCCATTGGGGTTTTCTGGTGTTTTTCCCATGTTTAAACAGAGGTTATTTGGTTTGAGGAGGAAGATCAGAGAGTCAAGTCACATTTCATCGCATAATGTTTAGGGTACATATCGTCGACACGACTTAGGAATGATGATGTTAGCCCTGACTACCTGGGTGAGGTCATATTTTCCAGGTTTCTTATACACACAGTCACACTCCCCTTCCCTAGCTTTCTGTATATTGTATTCTTTGGGAACAAGTCAGTAAGTGTAGCGTCTACTCAAGGGTCAGGGATTTAAGCTTTATCTTCTTGGGTGTGTGTGTGTGGTGGGGGTAGGGTATCTATATAAAGTAGTTGGAATTCTTCTGCACAGGAGACTTGCTTATTTGCTCCCATTTACCTACTCATTCAATCATTTATTTATATATAAGGATGGATGGACTTATGGTTATTTATTTTATACTTTGGGTTATAAGCCAACACTCTGTTATTTGCCTTGTTGCTCAAATGGTTCCAGCTTTTGTCACTGGGAGTTCTCTCAGGCTGGCTGCTGTGTCCCTTTGATGATCCCTCTTCCTTTTATTTTTTGAGCACTTCCTTACTTTCTGTCCCTACAAGAAGCTCCAGGTTTATCTTTTATTTTCCCTGCCCTTCCCCCCAAATCAGGCATTTCTCCAAGGAACGCTAATAGTATTAGAAATTAAGATTTGGTTCCAGGAATACTCATTGCTACTGGGTGTCATTGCCAGGCCTCAGCAAACAGAGCTCCGAAATAATATGTTTGTAGACTAACTCATGAACACACTCACACACCTATAATTATATCCATCCATCTGTATCTATATTAACCTAAACATAAATCCACATTAATGTCTCTGAATCTAATCAAGTACCACATAATTCATTCTTGCCATTTCCTTACCTGTAACTTCCTCTGCAACAGTAAAAAACATGGGCCCCACCATCTGCCAGTCATTTGCCTATTCAGTGCTAGTATAACTGTTCAGCAGTTTCAGATTAACTCACTCTACCATGAGAAACAACTTTGTCAACTCAAGTACCATGTTTAAGTCCAGTTCTTTAAAATTCCTTTACACTTATAGTTTGCATTCAAAGCACTGTTTCCAAAGTTCCTTAAGTTAGTGTCTTTTTTCCTGCACCCCCTTCAATGAGGTTATGTTATAAATGTATAGCTGTTGGATTCTTTGGTCACATTCTGCATTCTATCCCAGGATCCTCTGATCTTCTGGTTTATTTTTTGTTGTTTTTTGAAACTACGTACATTAATTAACTCTTTGTGCTGCAAAGCTCTATGGGTATTGACAAGTGCAAAGCATCATGTATTCACTGTTAGAGTGCCATACAAATTAGTGCCACCAGCTGCAAAAATATCTCCTGAGTTTCCTCTAGTCAAACATTACCCTCTCCCCAAACCCTTGATATCACTGATCTGTTTTCTGTCCTTATTGTTTTGTCTATTCCAGAATATCATATGGATGGAATCATACAGTCTGGAGCCTTTCAGCTTGACTTCTTTCACTGAGCATAATATAGTCAGTGTTCATAAACTAATATCCTAGTCTTTTTTTTGCCTATTCCTTTTTTATTCCATAGTGTGGAATTCATTATATGGAATGTAGTCATTGTTGAGGGTGGTGCATAAATTGATGGATTGATTGCCAAAGTAGGGGATGCTCTGTTGGAGCCTCCCTTAGAGAAAGAAAGAATCATGTATATAACCTGGGACCTTTCCTCAGAGGAACAACATCCATCCTCACCCCACAGATTAACTTGGGAGAAACAATAACTGTGAAGAGTAAAAGATGAGCAGCCTTGGCAGAGGAAAGATGAAACAGCTATAACTCAGCCTTAAAAATATCAAGTCTCTTTCAGCAGCTTCCTATTTCATTTCAGTTGTATCTTCCCTGTTTACCACTTATTTTATTTTATTTTATTTTATTTTTTGAGAAAGAGTCTTGCTCTGTCACCCAAGCTGGAGTGTAGTGGCATGATCTTGGCTCACTACAACCTCCGCCTCCCGGGTTCAAGTAATTCTCCTGCCTCAGCCTCCCCAGTAGCTGGGATTACAGGCACTCACCACCACGCCTGGCTAGTTTTTGTATTTTTAGTAGAGACAGGGTTTCACCATGTTGGTCAGGCTGGTCTCAAACTCCTGACCTCGTGATCCACCCGCCTTGGCCTCCCAAAGTGCTGGGATTACAGGCGTGAGCCACAGCGCCTGGCCTTGTTTACCACTTCTCTATTTCCTCAGGGTGGCCTTCAAGCCCTCTTAGACATCTGTTCTGCTTCCTTCTATGGATTTAAACTTCTGGCCTCCTTTCCTATTCAATAATGTCTTGCACTGTTTTTTAAAAGAAAACAGAAACAGTTTGTTTGTATCACAGTGTATCAACTAAAAGTTTTTCCTTTTGGACAGAAATTATACTCTTGCACATTTTCTACTCCCTCTCTTTATGAACAATAGGCAGGTTACTCAAACAAAATGTCATCAGGAATTCATGGTTCCTCCAAAAGAGCTTCCTGGTGTGTTTAATCCCAGGCATTTGTGTTGACAGATGTGCCACATGGGTAATGAGTGTAAGGCACACCAAGGTCTTAAAGGGCCCTTCTGAATCACTGGATCTACTCGGATAATCCTTTAGCAAAAATCTTATCTTATCCAGACTTTCTCTGAACTTGATAAACAATGCTTAACTATATTAGATTTTTTTCATATTCAATGTTACCTTTAGCTCTATATCCTAGAAAAATATTATTTCTTTAAATTCTATCCATCTTAAACAATATTCCAATTATTCTTTCTTGCCTGCCCCCCATGCCTTCCCATCTCTGAATACACAAAATATTCAGTCTGCTACCATGGAATCACTTCCAGCATCTTAATTTTGGAAAGAGTCTAGGTCACCTCTTCTTTTTACTGAGTAAAACCTGAAACCTGGAGTTGACTTTGCCAACAATATTTAACAAACAGGGGATTTGAACCCAAGTCTCCTTTCTCCCAGTCTAGGTCTCTTTCTATGGTATGCTTTAGACTCTTTTAGGCTAAACAAAATATTACCAGTAAGCAATGCAACGTTGGTGTGTGACATCACAACCCAGCAAATTGGCCATTGGTCATTGTGGTGCATATTTCTATCGTGCGCTCCACTCTCAGAAATTAGTTGCTGAATGTACGGAATATGGATAATTCTAGATTCCAATTTCAATTTCAGTGCACACTTGCTATGTGATTTAATTTCATTCTTTATTTCATTACCTGTTCTCTTATTTGTAATAGGGATATTATCACTTGATGGTATTTAGTGATCCCCTTCCCCCTAGAATTGTAGCTGCAGATAGAAGGAGGTGCTAGAGAACAGTTTTAAAACATCCTAATGCCCTCAACGAAAACACTGCCTTCAGTGGACGGAAATTTGTAAATATGATATGAATTAAGAACATTTCTACACATTCATCAATGAAGGCTAAGAAAAGCATGAAGATTATTTAAAAAATGATCAGAGAAAAGCAAGCTAAAAGTCTAGGGAAAGTTTCTGGAAGAAAAGAACTATGAAGCACATCTAGGAGGAAGCAATAGATGTAACTAGAGAGAGAGAAAAAAGAGATAATCACCAGCTCATCATTTACTGGACAACTGAGGCTCAGAGGTGATCTGTATGCCTTCAGATGCTACCATCTTTGGGGTCAGGATGGAAATTGTGAATACAGAAGAAAGGCTCTCTGCTCATATCAAATTGGTATCCCAATTATTTGTTTGGAATTTATGTCCAAAAAACCTATTAGTTCATCTTCACAAATTAACAAATGTCTGTGATGGGGGGTAGACTGTTAGTGTTAGAAATTCACCACTAGGACACAGGTAATTTAGAAGGAAAAAAAATCATTCCCTGTGTGATTCCTTTGAGATAAGAGCATTATTGAACACCTCCTTTGGAAGTTACAGGTCCCTTAAATCTCCCTATTTTTACACTAAAACCCTTCCAATTTGATTAATGAGTTGATTGGGTAGACTTTAAACTAACACTTCATTTTTGAGAAATACTGAAATAATAAAATTTACATGTCAAAAAGAGGCATCTATTTATCCTAAAATATCTATAGATGGATAAAAAACAGAACTATAGTATCTATGTGTCTAGGCCTATACTACCTATCAATATTTTTAGATTACTAAGAACAACATAATGAAGGCCTATTAAATAGAGCTTTTTCAGTCATTAATCGTGCTATAAATATCTTATATTTAGGAAATTAATAAACAAAAGGAATCAATACAATTTCATAGGGATTTTTTGTCTCCCAAGTGTGTTCATTAACATTTCTATAGGAGATTAGAGGGTCACTATTTCATCATGTGAATTAATGTGTGGCCTCAGAACTGGGGACCTGCTCTTTCTGTGCACTTGTCACCAGGTATCCCGAGAAAAATATTAATACTGCTATAAGCTAAATGCTATTTAGAAGAAATGACAAAGACTGCCAATTGATAAGAAACATTGTTTAAAAATGTAGTATTTATTATCATTATTTTGTATCTTAGGCTTATAGCACTTATGAGATAGGTAATATTAAGTGTTATCAAACCTTTTTAAGTCACTGTCTCTTAATCCATAAAACATTGAGACTAGATCCTTACCTCACAGAGTTAATGTGATTATTTAATACAGTAATATGTGTAAAAAACTTGGCATGATTCCTGACGTATACAAAGTACTTATAAGTGCTAGTTACTTAACTATTGGCCAGGGCGGGGTGGCGGGCTGCAGTGGTAAATTTTACTTTTAAATTAGGTTGATAATAAATGAAGAAGAAAGGAAGCTACAAACAACACCTAGAAGAAATAAATCTAGCTTCATATGGTGGGAAAAAAGGGATAATTGATGTGGGAGACTTTAAAGTACTATTAGTAACTTTAGATACAAAATACATATTTCTTGAATTTAAACAGATGTATCTCAAATTAATTACAATTGTTACATAAATATTCCTTCTGAGATCTAAAAAGCGGAATACTTTCAAATTAACAATCAGCATTCTATAGTTATTCTTCTTAAAAACGTAATGTATGAGTCAGAAAAATTAACCAAGTTAGACTTTCAAGATTTAAATGGAAAGATAGGTATAGAAAAGAAAAGTTGATAGAAATACAGTAAAATTTTGATAGTGGCTGTCATCTCAGGGTGGGAAGACTAGGGGTGATTTATATTTCAGTCCAGTGCTTCTCAAACTTTAAAGTGCACACAAATCACCCAAGTATCTTGTTAAAGGGAGACTGTGATTCAGTAGGTCTGGGTGGGGCCTGGGATGCTAGAGTTCCAAAAAGCTCTCAGGTGATGAGGATGATGGTCGGAGGGTTACACTGTGTATACAATGGGGTTAATGCATTTTCTAGATCTTCTACAATCAGGGTTACCTTTATAACAAAAAAGTTAGACTGAGGTATGCTTTTCTGTATAAGAAGAGTCAGCATTATATGTATATACATACATATATATAAGTTGTATTAAATATGCATTTTATTAACTATCTATAATATAGTGTTAAATGTACTATATGTATTGTATTCTATATATACATACATAGCGCTAAGTACGTTTACACTATATATACACATTGGGAATTACATGTTCATTTTCTCATTCCCTTTGAAGATGAAACATTTCTCCAGCTTAACCAAAACGATGACTTCCATTTATTTCACCATTTTGGTACACCTGCTTCTTTAGCACCATGCTCTTACTATAAGGCTAGAAGCCTTAGAGTTATTGATGAACAAAATCCGAACACTACAAAAGATATGATGTGGTTACAAACATTTAGAAAGAAGAAATTTTAATCACCCAATAGTAAAAAAATGAAAGAAAAATCTAAAAGCCAACCAACCAACCAAACAAAAGGGCAAAGAAACTAAGGCATGTCCTAAGACAGTCTTTTCTTGGATTTCATTTCCATGGTTAGCATTTGAAAATGTTTGTTGATGGTATAAATGTATCACACTTTAAATAAAGCACACACTCTTCCGTTTCAATGAAAACTATTAGCTCAGTGTTAATAAGCAGGGGGTTGCAAAATGTAAATGTTTGTTAAAAACAAATTAGTGCCCCACCCAAAAAAGTATAAGAAAAGAAGACCTGTTAAATCAGAACCAAGGCAGTATTTGTTTTGCTGATACAGGTTTCACTTTATAGAATCATAAGTGGCAAAGCAGTAATAATGAAAATCCAAACATGCAGAGTTTTCCAACACGGTTTAACCAGGCTTCCAAACAGAAGAACCACTAATTATTATTGTCCGTCTCTGGTGTTCATTAAAGCAAAATTGTGCACTTTTATAGAGATCAATAATACAATAACTGCAAGAGGATTGGTGGATTTTATGCCATGGAACCTCCAGGCATTAAAAATCAATGCAACCCAATCTATTTGAGTTTGAAGCCATGGTGCTCATTGTCTTTCCATTGTACCCTGGACCAGCTCAGCATCTATTCAGGCTCCCAGTGACAGTGGCCATATTTCATAGTGCTCCTTCCATGGGCTGTTGGCTGGTGATAAGCTATAATGGATCTGTCTGTGAAAACAGCTGTCTCCCCTTGTTCCCCGAAAAGAGATGAAAAAGTGCCTCTGCCCTCACAGACTGTATTAACCTTGACAATAATGAAGTGTGTAATTAACAGCTTTGCCCTAATAGGACCTCACATCTCTTTTTCAAAAGCAGTATCTTCTGTGTGCCTCAAACGTGTTTCATTTTGTCTTTCAGGTAAATATAGCTCAGGAGGTTAATAAGCTAAATATTTCCACAACTGAAGTATAAACAAAGATTCTCTCAGAACTTATGTACTTTTAAACTGTCTATCTAAATTCTTACCCTGTTGGTAAAGAACTGTCTTCCTTGTTTTTATTAAGGCAGGTAGCTGGAAACATCAGGTAACATAGTCACAACAAACAGATTTGATCTACTTAGATCCTTATAGGAAGAAACGGTAACTCTTGTTTGGATTTTGTAATATCATTAGATATTTTCAATAAATATTTTCACTCGCTATTACCAATAGATATTTTATCTATTTTCTTTCAGTTCTCTACATATACCTTTTATTTGGTAACAACAGTGGTTGGGGCTAATTGGGTGAACATTTGAGCATTGCATATCCCTGGAAAACAAGATAATTCAGGCAACATATTTCAGAGTGGAGGTAGTGGTAAGGGATTCTAACCAGAAAATCCCTCTTTAACAAATTATGTAATAATCTTAATCACATGGAATCCAAAAAGCCAATTTCTGTTTTTTTGTTTGTTTGTTTTGAGATGGAGTTTCACCTTTGTTGCCCAGGCTGGAGTGCAATGGTGTGATCTCTGTTCACTGCAACCTCTGCCTCCCGGGTTCAAGCGATTCTCATGCCTCAGCCTCCCAAGTAGCTGGGATTACAGATATGCACCACCATGACCAGTTAGTTTTGTATTTTTAGTGGAGATGGGGTTTCACCATGTTGGCTAGGCTGGTCTCAGCAAACTTAGGTTACTCATAAAGGTAAGGCATCTGTCTCTTTCTATTCTAAGACTTAAAAACATTTCATCTTTAAAAATCAAGATGCTTTAATATATTACAAATTTTTTTTTTTGAAGACAAGGTCTTGCTCTGTCTTCCAGGCTGGAGTATAGTGGTGCAATCATAGCTCACTATAGCTTCAAACTCCTGGGCTCAAGTTATTCTGGGTAGCTAGGAATACAGGCATGTGCCAAAATGCCTGGCTAATTAAAAAAAAAATGTAGAGAGGAGGTCTCATTATGTTGCCCAGGGTGGTCTCAAACTCCTGGCCTCAAGTGATCTCATGCAACAGCCTCCTGAAGTGCTGGGATTACAGGTATGAGCCACCAGGACTGGCCAAGAATTGTTTTTAATGTGCTACTAGGAAATGTAAAATTAAATACGTGGCTTGCATTTTACTTGTATTGAGCAGAACTGATCTAGAGCAGAAGTCAGGAAGCCATGTGACTCATGGGCCAAATCTGGCCCTCTGCCTGTTTTTGTAAATATTTACATATGGTGAGAGTATGGCTGGATTTGTGCACCACAATGGTAGGGTTGAGTTGCAAGAGAGACTATATGGCCTGCAAGGTGTAAAATACTTACTCTCAGGCCCTTCACAGAAAAAGTTTGCTGAACCCTGATCTAGATACACAGGTCTCATCTTTGGAGGGAAAACTCTGCTAGTATTTGATTCATGGGCTGTGCCAAAAAAAAAAAAAAAAGAAATAAGCCTCCCCAAAAGCTGAATGTGGTTTCTTAGAGGGAGGGAGTCATATGGCACCACAGGCATCACTTCGTTTACTGTCTGCAGTTCTGTCACAGAGGAGGACATGAAACACAGTTCTCCCCACTCCTGAAGAAATGCAGTTTGTTGGCCAAGTCAATTGACTAGAATAAGCAACCCAAATAAACAACCCAACACTGTTCGCAAATGAGCTTTTCTGGAACAGCAATTCGAGAAGCAGACTGGCCAAGTTCTTGCTGGGTGGTAAGGTCACCTTAGGCAACAGTAGGTGTTGTGGGCATAAACAAGAATCCATCATTTCCTCCCTCATGCCCTGTCCTCCATATGATCTGAACTTTAAAGAATTTGTGAACTGACGAATAAAATGACTGCCATCAGTCCGTAAATTGGTTTAATAAGAGTTTCTAGTCACTACCATGGATTAAACACTTGCTGTGTGCCAAGATGATTAGAAGTATTTTTCCAATATATAATAATCATAATATGACTCCAAGGTATGGCATTATTACCCCTTTATAAGAAGGAAGAAAGTGAGGCTCAGAGAGGCCAAGGAATTTTCCCAGTGTCACTCAGCTAGCAGGTGGGAGGTTTGAAAGCAAGGCTCACACCTACCTGTTACAAATGCTGCCTCTCTATAGAATATGAAAACCACAACACCCTGTCAGCACCCTCAACTTCAACTCTCAGGAGTAGAAAGGATAGTCAAAACCCAGAAAGACAAGCTCCAAACCCTTTGAGATACAATGAAAGAAATGTAAGCATATTCTGTGGGGGGCAGAATATAAAATATTTCCAGAAACAAAGCTTTTTAAAGAAAGGATGTTCAAAACTCAGAATTTATGGAAATTGGGGAAAAATAAGTTGACTGGTCTTTGAAATAATTAGCCTTTAAAGCAACTTGAAAATTCTTTCTCTATAACAAAGGAAATGTTACATTGCATTTACTCAAGATTCTGACATTTAAAAATGTAATAACTAATAAAACATGTAGTCTACATATCAATTGCAACTACCTCCCCAAATCAACCAACTGATTAAATTATGCTCTAAATATTGCTAATATGCAATGCTAAGGGCCACAATGTATTGCATTCTCTTATAGTACAAGGCATATTTATTTTAAATTTAGCCAAGAAAAATTTACCTTTGCATGTCCTAAATTTAAATTTCTGTTGTTGTTGTTGTTTTACCTGACATTTCAAACAATCTTTACAAATGTGGAAATTATCTCTTGGAGGCATAATAAATGTTAAGAAACTTGTTAATCTGGAAATAAAACCAGTAGGCAGTCAAATAACATTTTAAACTATAAAGTTGGTATTGTAACTATGCACTGTAATTCATATTTCAGAAATTGACTGTTCTTAGATGCCAAGAAAAGAGTATGCCTTATGCAAAAAATAGAAGAGAAAAGTTGCAATCCAAGTCTTCCATATGTCTCAAAAGTTTGAAACTTCTAACCCCATTAAATATTAAGGTCATCACGGACATAAAGATGGAGAGAATAGACTCTAAGAACTCTAAAAGCAGGGATGGGAGATGGTGGATAAGGAATGAGGGTTGAAAAATTACCTGTTGGGTACAATGTTCAATATTTCAGTGATAGGTACACTAGAAGCAGAACCCCCACCACTATGCGTGTAATATCCATGTAACAAACAAGCACATGTACCTTAGTCAGCTTTACCAAACATTCCTTGATATTCATTACTAATTTCTCTTTGGTGATCAAAGTCAGAGTACTAGTTACCCCTAGGGGAAAGGTGCTCACTGGGATGGGGCCCAAGGGAACTTTCTGGGTGATGAAAATGTTGTATATCTTGATCTTGGTTGTGGTCACAAGAATACATACATTTGTAAAAATTTGGCATACTTTACGTTTATGATTTGTATATCTTATTACACATAAATTATTCCTTTGTCAAAATACATTGGAATTGCACCAAACCAAAAGTTTGCTTGACTTGTCCAGCAAATATGCAGCACTCTATGGGCAGCTTCTGCAAAGGTGGGACATTGGATATACTCAGAATGGGTGTTTGCCAGGCAGCTGTCATGCAAGTAGGTAGGTAGCAATGGGCACTAGAATGTGGATGAACCATGCAGTTTAAGCTGAAAGGAGATTATTAAAGGAGAGTGCTGATAAGTAAGGAGAATGCAGCAAGGTCAAAGACTGAAAGTCTAAGGGAGAGAGAACAGGTGTTGTGGGATGTGGCTGTGGGTGGGTGGCTGGTTCAGAGGGGAAGAAAATCCCATCTCTTAAACCCAATCAGAGATACAAGCCCGTAGCTGAAATATTCCAGTAACTCTTAGCAAATGCCAAAGAAATGATGCTATTCATACTATTAGGAGTTGGCAGGGCTGGGCACGGTGGCTCAAACCTGTTATCCAAGCACTTTGTGTGGCTGAGGTAGGAGGACTGCTTGAGGCCAGGACTTCCAGACCAGCCTGGGCAACATAGCTAGATCCCTTTTTTTTTCTACAAAGAAAAAAAAAATAGCTGGGCATGGTGGCAAGTGCCTGTGGTCCCAGCTATTCAAGAGGCTGAGGTCGGAGGATCCCTTGAGCCCAGGAGTTGGAGTTTGCAGTCAGGTATAATCATACCACTTTACTCCAGCCTGAGCAACAGAGTGAGACCCTGTATCAAAAGAAAAAAAAAGAGTTGGTAGGTTAGGCTCCCTTCATCCTCAATCTCTTTACCAATCCCACCAGTGGAGCCTGATGCATCTCTATGTACTAACTTGGCTTACCCAGAGACACCTGCAAGTCTATGGTGCTTTCCTTTTTATTTATTTATTTATTTAAATTTTACTTTAAGTTCTGGTATACATTTGCAGAACGTGCAGGTTTGTTACATCTAGGTTTTAAGCCCCACATGCATTAGGTATTTGTCCCAGTGCTCTCCCTCCTCTTGACCCCCACTCCCCGGACAGGCCCCGGTGTGCGATGTTCCCCTCCCTGTCTCCATTTGTTCTCATTGTTCAACTCTGTTCAACCATTGTGGAAGACAGTGTGGCGATTCCTTAAGGTGCTTTCCTTTTGCACCGCAGAAACGCTAACTCTGCAACATTTCTTTCATTTAGATAAGCTATATACAGAATCAAATCATGTCTTTTCTTTTTGCAAAATGAGACATTTATCCCAAGGATCTCTCTCTCTCTCTCTCTTTCTCTCTCTCTCTCTCTCTCCCCCTCCTTATCTAGGGGTAAGAGATGTGTTCACATTTAAAATATTTTGTTCCTTTGAAACCCAATGGAAGGTTTAAGAATGCACCTTGAGGATTTCTAATAACCTGTAGGAAAGGCTAAGGCAGTGAGAGATTCCGCTTCATCTGGCAGCTTCAATTGCAGGGGCTCCCAGCCATGCACATTGGAATCATCAGGGTGGAGGCCAGGGTCTCTTCCCAGACCAATTACATCTCTGATCATCGTTCTAGGGTTCAGTAATTTCTGAAGCTCTTCAGGGGATTCCAATGGGCAGCCAAGTTTGGGAACCATATTGCTAGAACTTCTCCTCCTGCCACTCAAAGCTTGGTCCCTAGGCCAGCAGCATCACCATCACCTGGAAGTTTGTTAGGAATGCAGAATTGCAGCCCCATCCAGATCTACTGAATCACAATCTGCATTTTAACAAAATCTCCAGGTAATTAAAATATACATTGAAGTCTGGACAGCACTGGTCAACCAAGACAACCTGCAGGTCACATTTGCAGGCTTCTAAATTAGTCTGCCTTGGGGAGGTCTTGTGATTCATGGCAACATCCTGTTCCTGAGTAAAGAATTATCTGAGTTCCTTATCTTATTGACACACTGATTAATGAGTAACCTACTGACATTGAAAAGGATGCTGATTTGTTTCTGAATTATGAAGTTTTGCTGGTTTGTATCTGAATCAGGAAATTTCACTGATTGTCTTGCACATAGATGTGTTAGCCTGTATGTTGCAATCTGTAGACAATGACAATAATCCCTGTATTGTACCCTCCAATGAAAAAGGACAACTCTGATATGGGAGTCCCTCTCCTTTCTCCCATACTTTCCTATAAAAGCATTCCAACTTGTAACAGACTTTGGATCATTCCCAACTTTGCTGGTGTGTTTTCCCAGGTCATTTCTCACATTTGACTTCCAATAAATCTTTTTAATCAACTTCTGCTTCGACAGCCCTAATTTTGGTCCACAACCATTTGCCTTTGATTTAGTCTTTACTCCTAAGGTCCCCTTTTCATGATCCAAACCATTTCAACTCAATAAGGATTTTAAAATCAGTCCATTCCCTCTGTGTATATATAAAATCATATATTTATTACGGAGAGAATTTACTGATATATATAAACACATATACACATACATTTAGATATATGTATATTTAGGTGTATTTAGATGTGTGTGTGCATATATGTACATATACACACATATACATATATATATACACATATACATATATATACACATATACATATATATAGAGAGAGAGAGAGATAGTATCAAATAAAAAAAATCTAGCCCCTAAACTTCAGATTAATAGGGTCATTCTTTCATTTAATAGAAAAAGAAACAGCAATTCAAAACAGAAAAGGAAAAATGATTGATTCACAACACCAAGGGCACCTCTGGACATTATGCTCCTAGAATGCATTCTGTGACTGAATGATGGAGCGTATTTATCCCATGTGTTTATCCAAGAGGGCAAGTTTAAGTCCAGAATGCAGGACTCTGAAAAGAGTTTACTGAATAATCCCATTGATTCCCTCAATGATACTAACAGAACAGCACAAACCCTTGTACCAACAAAGAGAGATGATCCACTTCTTTCCTCTCTAAGCTGCCTTGCCAAATTGAAGCTCCTCTTCTCTAAGTTATATCTCAGATAAAGCTTAGTTATATCTTAGATAAAGCAAAACACACACATCAGAAGAGACTCAAACAACATTATCTTTCCTGTTTCCAAAATTGTATTCTATCAGTTGTTTTCACATAAAGACCACAGATTTAACAAAAACATAAAATCCAGGGGTTCTTTAACAAGAAACATAAAATCCAGGGGTGTTTTGGCCCAGGAATGTTCTTGAAGACATCGTTCGCTACTTCATTAAGTGTCCCCCTAGAAAGGCCTCCTGACACACTTATTTACAAATTAGAGTTAGAAAGCTTGGCTTTCCTAGAGGAAATTCTGCTTTTCCCACTCCCCTTTTCTGTTGATAGAAATCTTGTAACTGTTTCAAATGGACTCCCCAGAGGCTTGAAAAAAATCAAATTTATAGCTTAACTATTGATTTTGTTCATGTGTAAGGCCTGTAGTCTACTTGCATTCCCTTCTGTCTCTTCTTCCTTCCATAATTTACGTGTTTCTTGGCCTTCACTGTTGAACTATGTAATTTGCCACACCTTTATTACATGGAATTTCATTGTACATTAATGCTATTCCACTTGGGAAACAAAGTTGATTTTTAAAAAATTCCTCTCAATGACCACTTCTGGTCTTTAATTTCCTCCCTTATGAAAATGTATTTAAGTAGTCCTCAGCAATTTTAAAATCCCTTGATCTTACATCTGACCCAGGATGCTGGAGCAGGTCAATCAACTAGGGTCTTCTGAAGGCTGTTTACTCTTTAGGAAAATACTACCCCACTGCACAGACAGAAAACTATATAAAAAGCTGCCAATGTCTTCAGCATCTTAGAAATAGACTACAGAGGCCAGGCACGGAGGCTCACGCCTGTAATCCCAGCACTTTGGGAGGCCGAGGCGGGCGGATCACAAGGTCAGGAGATCAAGACCATCCTGGCTAACACAGTGAAACCCCGTCTCTACTAAAAATACAAAAAATTAGCCGGGCGTGGTGGTGGGCGCCTATAGTCCCAGCTACTCGGGAGGCTGAGACAGGAGAATGGTGTGAACCCAGGAGGCGGAGCTTGCAGTGAGCTGAGATAGCACTACTGCACTCCAGCCTGGGCGACAGAGCGAGACTCCGTCTCAAAAAAAAAAAAAAAAAAAAAAAAAGACTACAGAGAAGTCGTGGCTTGAGGAGCTTTTAAAAATCCTTTAGCCCAGACTGCACCCAAGAGCAAATACTTAATAAATAAGAATCTCTGGGGTAAAGACCAGGCAGTGGTAGTTTTAAACCTCTCCCAGGCAATTCCTAGTATTTGAGGTTGAAAACCCGTGTCCTAATGCAGTGCGTATTAAACCCTACTTGGCACATAAATGCCCCAGGTATCTCCTTAAACAGCAGACTCCAAGGGAGCAGGTCTGGCATAAGGCTCAATATTCTGAATTTCTAACAAGCTCTTAGGTGAGGCTAATACTGCTGGCTGCAGAGCATGCTCTTAGTTGCAAGGTCTCAAAGAATAGATTGTGTTCCCTTGGTGGCTGAACTGGGGTTTACATATTCCAGGGAAAATGAAATCAGCACCATGTCCTAGAGAGAGTGCTGGATTATAAATCTGGCAATCTGGATTCTAGTGCAAGTTCCATCTGTGGCAACTATGAAGCCTTCACCAAATCACTTTCCCTTGCTGGGGCTATGGTCCTTATCTGTACTGAGAGGGTTTCCCTGGCACCCTTCTAGCTTCAAAATTCTGTTGCTTTGAAGGCTCTCTCCATGTCTCAGCTAATCCAGATAGTTACAGCTCCTACAAAGTGCAAAGCAGCTGGCTTGATTGAAAAACAATCTGATAGGTGCTTACCTACTGGGAGAGAAAACTGTATGCATGAACTGAGGTTTGTGTATGCTTTCCTTCACTTTTAAATTCCTAAAACAAGCACTGACCCTTTATGTGAACAAATCCTAGGTTACTTACATGAGCACATCCTGTCACATGCCATTTGGTGTCCTGACACATTCTTAACAATGTCAGAACCAAACTCGAGTAGGTTGATGCAAAAGTGGTTCCAATTCTCCTCTTCTGTCTGTATGCATGTCCTTTGGAGTGTGACTCCGCACCTCCTCCCATCAGGAGATGGAGTCTGTTTCCCTTTCCCTTGACTTTGGGTTTAGCTCTGGCCAATGGAATACAGCAGAGATGATGTTGTGCCCAATCAAGTCTACGTTTCTAGAGGCTGTGCAGCTTTGAATCCTGCCTGGTTACCATGTGTACAAGTCTGTACTAGCCTGGTGAATGATGAGAGACACGAGGAACAGAGACCAGTCTTTCCAGCTGAGGCCATGCTAGGCCAGCCAGCCTCTAGCCAACTCAGAAGCTGATGCGAGTGAGCCCTGATGAGGCTAGAACCATGGGTCAAGCACAGGCCAAACTGCCAACTTGCTGAATTGTGAGGAACAATAAACAGTTTTTAAAAAAATTTATTTTAAGTTCCAGGATACATGTGGAGGACGTGCAGTTTTATTACATAGGTAAACATGTGCCATGGTGGCTTGCTGCACCTATCAATCTCTCACCTAGGTAGTAAGCCCTGCATGCATTAGCTACTTATCCTGATGCTTTCCCTCCCCCCATGACAGGCCCAGTGTGTGTTGTTCCTGGCCTATCTCCCTGTGTCCATGTTTTCTCATTGTTCAGCTCCCACTTATGAGTGAGAACATGCGGTGTTTCGTTTTGTGTTCCTGTGTTAGTTTGCTGAGGATGATGGCTTCCAGCTTCATCCATGTCCCTGCAAAGGACATGATCTCATTCCTTTTTATGGCTGTGTGGTATTCCATGGTGTATACATATCGCACTTTCTTTATCCAGTCTATCATTGATGGGTATTTGGCTTGATCCCGTGTCTTTGCTATTGCAGATAGTGCTGTAAGAAACATATACATACATGTATCTTTATAATAGAATGATTAATGTTCCTTTGGGTATATACCTAGTAATGGGATTGCTGGGTCAAATGGTATTTCTGGTTCTAGATCCTTGAGGAATCACCACACTGTCTTCCACAATGGTTGAACTAATCTACATTTCTACCAACAGTGTAAAATCATTCCTATTTCTCCACAGCCTTGCCAGGATCTGTTGTTTCTTGACTTTTTAATAATCACCATTCTGACTGGTGTGAGATGGTATCTCATTGTGGTTTTGATTTGCATTTCTCTAATGATAGTGATGTTGAGCTTTATTTCATATGCTTGTTGGCCGCATAAATGTCTTCCTTTGAGAAGTGTCTGTTCATGTTCTTTGCCCACTTTTGATGGGGCTGTATGTTTTTTTCTTTTAAATTTGAATAAATGCTTATTGTTTTAAACTCTTTTTATACTGTGGTAAAATATACATAAAATTTACCATTTTAACTATTTCTAAGTATAAAATTTGGTGGTATTCAGTCAATCCACAGTGTTGTACAACCATCACCACTATTCCTTTCTGGAACTTTTTTTAAATCATCTCACGTAGAAACTTTGTACCCATTAAACAATAATTCCCCTTCCCTCCAGCCCCTGGTAACCTCGAATCTACTTTCTGTTTCTATGACTTTGCCTATCTAGCTTCCCCATATAAGTGAAATCACACAAGACTTGTTCTTTTGTCCCTGGTTTATTTCACTTCGCATAGTGTTTTCAAGGTGCATCCATGTTGTAACATGTATAAGAATTTCATTCCTTTTAAAAGTTGAATAATATCTACCACATTTTGTTTATCCATTCATTCATCTGTCAACAGACATTTGGATTGTTGCACCTTTTGGCTGTCGTGAATAATGCTCCTGTGAACATTGATATACAATAATCTGTTCAAGTCCTTGTTTTGAACTATTTTGGGTGTACTGAGTAGTGGAGTTGCTAGAGTTAAGTCCACGTTTAACCTTCTGAAGAATCAACAAACTGTTTTCCACAGCAGCTGCACCATTTGGTATTCCCATCAGCACTGCATGAGGATGCCAATGTCTCCGCATCCTTGAAACACTTGTTATTTTCCATTAAAAATATTATTTTAATCATAGCCATCCTAATGGGTGTGACTTAGTATCTCACTGTGATTTTTGATTTGCATTTTCTCAGACTATGTTGATTTTCTTTTCCTGCACTTATTAGCCATCTATATATCTTCTCTGGAGCAGTATCTAGCTATGTCTTTTGCTTGTATTTGAGTTGGGCTGTTTCTTTTTATTGTTGCTGAGTTGTTACAGATTTTTCTATATTCTGGGTATTAATCCCTTATCAGATATATTATTTGCAACTATTTTCTCATATTCTACGGATTTTCACTCTCTTAACAGTGTAATTCAGTGCAAAAAGTTTTGCATTTTGATAAGTCTAATTTATCATTTTTTTTCTTTCGGTGCTTGCGCTTTTGGTGTAATTTTCAAGGAATTATTACTAAATCCAATGTCATGAAGCTTCCGCCATGTTTCCTTCTAAAAGTTTTATAGTTTTAACTTCTGTGGTTACATTTTGACCCATTTTGAGTTAATTTATGTATATGGTATAAGATAAGGGGCCACCTTCATTTTTTAGGCTGTTGGGTATCCAGTTCTCCCGGCGTTATTTGTTGAAAAGATTATCCTTTCTCCATTAAATAGTCTTGGTTGCCTTGTGGAAAAGCATCTGACCTCATATGTGAGGGTTTGTTTCTGAGTGCTATATTCTATTCCATTGGCCTAGATGTCCGTTCTTATACCATTATAATATTATTTTGGTTTTAATTGTAGTTTTGTAGTAAGTTTTGAGATCAGGAGGTGTGAATCCTCTAACATTGTTCTTTTTCAAGAGAGTTTTGGCTATTTGGGCCCTTTGGGATTCCATATGAATTTTAGGATGGTTTTCCTATTTCTGTAAAAAACACTGTTGACATTTAGATAGGGATTGGATTGAACCTATGGATGACTTTCGTAGCATTTTCACCTTAACAATATTATGTCTTCCAATGTATGAACAGAGGATGTCTTTTCATTTATTTATGTCTTCTTTCTCTCAGTAATGTTTTGCAGTTTGAGTGTATTTTAAGCTCTTTAGCTTCAGAGTGCTTTGTTACACAGACTTATTTGTCATAATAGATAACCATTATTGATCTTAGTCCAGGCCACTGACTCTAAGGCTGCTGATTTCTCTGCTGGATAGAAAGCTCCCAGCAAGGGATTAACCTTTCTTATCTGCAAAACAGGTTGTCAGGGGAACTGCTTCTCTGCTGTCCTCACATTTCCCTGCAGAGTCTTCCACTGGAATAATACTTCTGTTCTCTCCCACCTCCCCTACTCATCTGCATGTGGCAGGGAGTGTGGCTTATCTGGCAGGGGAGAAAGGAGAACGGTTAGGGCCCATGCATGGCTCAAAGGACCTTCTCTTCATTTTTTCTGGAGAGTTTTCCTGTCTGCATAGCCTGTGTTTTCTACTTCCATGGGGTAAGGACCCAGAACTTCTCTTCTGGAGGTTAAGAGTCCCACTCTGACCCCAAACAGGCAGGTAAGTGTGTGTAAAGTGACTCCTCTGTAGCAGGTTGACCAGTATCAGCCTTGCAGAGCTCTCTCTTATATCTAAGCTGGAGGGTGAGATAGAGGTGTATATTGTACAAGGCCTCCTTAGTAAATGGGGCTTTATAATAATAAAGCTGATATCTGGATTCCCATCTATCTTTCCCACAGCCTATTACAAGGGAGAGTCTGCAAAGATATTCACATTGCCTTAATTTCATGTGTAAGCATAATAATTTGAATTAGCCCTGGAAATGAGAGGAAAGCAAGCAGAATTTCCAAGAATTTAGAAATTGAGGAAGAGAGTTGCTACCAGAATGGGGGAAAGAGGTCAGGAGACAAAAAGGGTTAAAACAGAAAGGGTTGGTTCTATAACAAGAAAGTTCCCCTTTATTAATCTTTATGTGCTATCATCTGTCTCTTGCATTTGATCGTCCCAATAGCCCTAGGAGACTTATATTATTATTACACCTCATCTTACAAATCAGAAAGAAGAAGTTACAAGCATTGACTGAGGTTCCATAGCTTTTTTAGTGGTTGTAGCAGGTGAAATATTCTCTCGATTCTTCCCTCCTTCCCTGTGATGATGATATATCTCACCGTCTGCATGTGACTTTTTAAGAGCCTCCCAGTAGAGTGGGACCCACTGACTTTGAACTTGGCCACGTGTCTTGTTTTGGCCACTGGAATGTTGGTGAACTGACAAAAGCAGAGGCTATTATATATATCGACTGGTTCCTTGAGTCTTTGCCATCTGCCCTGAAAAAAACCTGACCTGGGCAGTTGCTGGTCCAAAAAAAATGCCAAGAGGCGTCCAGAACAGACCTGAACCCAACCTAAAACCCGCAGCCAACTCTAAGTGACCTGAACCTCAAAGCAGAGTAACCCTACCAGCCTAAGACCCATGAGCAAGAAAAAGAAATGTTTGCTGTTATAAGTCATTAGCATTTGTAGGGTTGTTTGCTATGTAGCATTTTGGCAACCATAGTTGACTAATACACTGGTGAACTCGGGATTAAACTCCAGGAATGCACTTTGGGAGGCCGAGGCGGGAGGATCACGAGGTCAAGAGATCGAGACCATCCTGGTCAACATAGTGAAACCCCGTCTTTACTAAAAATACAAAAATTAGCTGGGTGTGGTGGTGCACTCCTGTAGTCCCAGCTACTTGGGAGGCTGAGGCAGGAGAATCACTTGAACCCAGGAGGCGGAGGTTGCAGTGAGCCGAGATCACACCACTGCACTCCAGCCTGGCAACAAAGCAAGACTCTGTCTCAAAAATAAATAAATAAATAAATAAATAAATAAATAAATAAATAAATAAATAAAATAAACTCCAGTAATGTCTGAATGCAGACCCCTTGCTCCTAATGTTGCTACCATACAACCTAGGGAATAATAGTGCCCATGGCTAGCTGCATTGTATTCAGGTGGAGCACAGCCCCTTGGTGTCTGGGATGTGCTTACTACAGATGCTCACCTGTCATGAATTAATTATCTTTATGGCTAGTGCTTCAGGCTGATTCGTCAGTCAGTTTCTGAGAATCTAAAAGTTCTTTTTGCAGATCATTCTATTCTCATCATTTTGCACTGCAGGACTTTTCCATGCTAGATTAGTAGCTAGTAAGAAGCTTGGTTTACATGCAATATTTGACAGAGCTGAGATTCAGAGCTGCTCCAAATCAGTCAAACGTGACCACAGCATCTGAGCTGAACACAGAAAGGATCCTCTTCATCAATCAAAGTTCGGTTTCCTCTGAGGGAATAATTAGAACTGAATCCAAGGATATTCCCCATCTTGCCTGAACTGTACATGTAACAGAGCTTTAGCAGGCAAAACTATCCATTTATTCAATCTACTCTAACTAGAAAATAACAAAACAAAAACCAAAAAGCAAGCAAACAAAACAAAGATGTCATCACTCACGAATTTCAGTTCTAATTCCTCTAAGTCACAGATGGTTTAGACAGAGGTGGCTTTGATGTGAAAGCCAAGTTGATTTATTTTGCCTCATTTTATCTTAGCAAAGAACCCAGGAAGGTGGGAGGGACTACTTTCAACACGGAAGCATCACAAAGTGCAGCAAGCTGGAAGGAATGGTGCCCTGGAGGGGAAAGATTATAGACGCCTCCGGTGTAGAAAATGGCCAAATGGCCTACAAGCTACCTGCCAATGACACAGTGACTTTCTGGGTAGATGGAGCTCTCAGGAAGTAATGCAAGCACTTTTGGCCTTTCCTGGGAAGTGTTTCTAGTTGGGGAGGGAGAACACATTGGCAGCAGCAAGCTTTACCTGGAAGAGAGGAGGTAGCCATCCATTTTCTTTATCTGTGTCAACTCCACCTTCTCTGTTTTCTTCTTCCCGCTTCTGTGAATCCCTTCCATTCATTCCACCTCATTCCCTGAAGACTCCAAGTTCTGCCCTATTTATATCAGAGAATCAGCTCCTCCTGGCACCCAAAGGTTTCTGCCTCTCCCTGGCTGATCCCCAGCTCACATACAGCTTCTGCCTGAGAAAAACATTTAAGACTGTCTTTCCATATTGTTCTTCTTGATGAGCTAATACCCCAACTGGTACGTTAGTTAAGCAAAACTGTGTACATCCTCACCCATGATAGGGCTTTCCTGACTCCAGATAGCTTATGGATTCAAGTTATTTTTCTAGATTTACAGATAACATTAGAGTGCTTATGCTGTGCTGCTATACACACCCTTTGAAGTGCCTGCTCTCCCTCTCTGTCTGTATATAATCTCCATAACAACCGTATGAGATTTGCACTATTATCCCCATTTTACAGGTGTGGAAACTGAGTCTTGAGCCAGGAGGTAGAAAAGCTGTGCCTCTGAACCCAGGCCGTCTAGCTACAGAACCCACATCTTCACTGCTACATTCACATTGCTAACGTCATAAAAAAAGCTTTACTTCCTGACAGTTGTGTTAAGAGCTTTACATATATTTTCAAATTTAATCCGCTAAAAAATCCTATAAGATTGGCAGAATTATGATCACCACACCACAAATTATTGATATCAGGGTAAACACACCTGATAGCAATAACTTAAACACATCCTTAGAATAACCCTGTATGGCAGATGCACCTGAATGTGTGTTCCAAGCTAGGGCATCCGGGAGTGGCCAACCTGATTAGTTCCTTGTCAATGACAAATATCAGAGCCCCTGGGCTCTTCTGTGGAACACAAGCTGCCTAGGGCACTGAGGTCCTGAGTTTTGGGTTAAATGAAGGTTGCCAGCTGGATGTCATTAGGGGGAAGGTGCTATGTGAAAATGCTACATAAACTGCATGCTATTTGCAAGCAATTGCGGTTTTCCTGCCACTGGACCCTCTCCCCTGTATGTGAGCCCCCTAATAAAACCCCATGTCTCATTTTCTGGCTCTGGGTCTCTTCTCTGGCCTCTTGAATGGGGTCCCCTTTGCTATTGAGGTTAACAGGAGTTTGACACAACAGCATATGGCACAAGGACACTGAAGTATGGAGGACAAGCCACTCAGTGAAGGTCACAAAGCTATAGTTTAAGTGGAGGAATCAGGTTTTGAAGCCAGGTCTCTCTAGAGCCAAAGCTTGTTCTCTTAGCTAGAAATCCTATTCACACCCCTGCATCCAAACTTGTGACCTCTAATGACTCCTCCTGCTTTGTGAGTCCCTCCAGCTTGATCTGCTTTGTCCCTTTGCCACCCACACACCAAAATGACACCTCTTTCTCCTCCCTCTTTAGACATTTAGAGAAAAGATACCTGGTTGTCTTGTCAGTTTTCCGCCTCCAAGGGGCCATGGAATGCTGTAGGCTAGGCATTCTATGGCAGGGAGGAAAAGCCCAGGCTTGTACAACTCCTCACTGGGGCGTTATCTGGGATGCAGCTTTATTCAGAAGCACTAGGTACCCCAGTACAAGGAACTGTAGAGAGAATAAGTGTTCTAATTTGGGTTCCCTTGAAAGCAACTCAAGGAAGAAGGACTTTAGTGCAGGTTCTTTATTTGTGAGGAGATTCCAGAAAGCCACATGACAGACTGAAGAAAGTGCAATGAAAATGAGAGAAATCCACATTGGGTGCCCCATTGAGCTGGTTAATGCTGTGGGCAACTGGGCCTCTGTGCTGCAGCAGATGCCCTGCAGAGCCATGTCAAATGCAGGTCAGAGAAGCGGGGGTATTTATCCAAGAACTTCCTTTCCACATTGGTTAAGGATTACCTTTGGGGGCATTCATTGCCTGGCATTTCTGGGCAGGATTGTCATGTCAGAGAAAGCCCTTGGACACAGAGCAGAGAGAAACTGTTAGTGTGCATGAGATGAGTCCACCAAAGCTGCAGGTAAACTCAGGTGTGTTCAGGGGATATGAAGCAGGGCATCTTCATGACTGCTGTAGCCAGCTTTGCACATGGATAGATGTAGGTTTGAATATCTGCTCTGTCACCTAACTATAAGGTCTTATGCGAACTATGGAAACCTCTCTGTAAATATCAGATTCCTTCCCTAAAAAACAGACATAATGATATATTGCTAGATTGGAGGAAGGATTAAGTGAGACATGGTATGTGTTAACACCTGGCACAGTGTCAGGTATACAGTGGACAACTACTATTGCTTCCCCACTGGGTTAAAAGTGAAGAGAATTGCCAGGCAAGGTGACTCATGCCTTTAATCCCAACACTTTGTGAGGCCAAGGCAGGCGGATCACTCGAGACCAGGAGTTAGAGACCAGCCTGGTCAACATGGTAAGACCCCGTCTCTACTAAAAGTACAAAAAATCAGCCGGGTGTGGTGGCATGCAGCTGTAATACCAGCTACTGGGGAGGCTGAGGTGGGAGAATGGCTTGAACCTTGGAGGTGGAGGTTGCAGTGAGCCGAGATGGCGCTACTGCACTCCAGCCTGGGTGACAGAGCGAGACTCCATCTCAAAAAAAAGTGAAGAGAATTTAGACAGACTAGATGGTCAAAAGTGTAAGCACCAGTGTTACTCACTTTACTTAAATTTCTGGATGCTTAGTAGGTTGATATGATTTGGATCTGTGTCCCTGCCCAAATTTCATGTCAAATAGTAATCTCCAATGTTGGCGGTAGGGCCCGGTGGGAGGTGACTGGATCATGGGGGGTGAACTTCTCATGAATGATTTAGTGCCATCCCCTTGGTACTATTCTCATGATAATGAGTGAGTTCTCACAAGATCTCAGTCTTCAAAAGTGTGTGGCACCTCCTGCCGCCCTCTCTTCCTCCTGCTCTAGCCATGTGATGTATCTGCTCCACCTCTGCCTTCCCCGATGATTGTAAGTTTTCTGAGGCCTCCCCAGACACCAAGTAGATGCCAGCATCATGCTTCCTGTGCAGCCTGCAGAGGAGGTGAGCCAATTACTCTTTTCTTTATAAATTACCCAGTCTTAGTTAATTTTTTGTAGCAGTGTGAGAATGGACTAATACACAGGTGCTTGTCAAGTGAAGGAAGGAGTAAAAGACCCCACATGTGGACCGTAGCCCAGGAGGGGCAATAACTACAATTATATACAGTGGCATGAATAAGGCTGAATCTCATAATCATAATGTTGAGTGAAAGAAATCAGGCACAATCATACAGGTACTAAAGAATTCCATGAAAATTAAGTTCAAAAACCAGCAAAATGTATAGTTGGCAACGGTGACCCATGGAGGTGATTGAGAATGGAAGCAGACACAAGGTGAGAATCTGCTGGGGTGGGTCTATAACATCGTGATTCTTGATCTGATGTGTTTCCTTTGTGAAAATGTGTTGGGCTGTACACTTCATAACTTGTGCACTTAAAGAATACATTAAATGTCAATTAAAACTTAAAAACATAGGGGTGAGAGAGTATAGGCCTTGGTTTTCAAGCATTGTAGGACCTGCCTCCCCATGAAATGAGAAACAGAGACACCAAGAGATAATTTCCTTCTGTGTGCATCTAGAACAAAGAGACTTAAGAAAGCCAATCAATTTTAGAAAATTAACTAAAATTTGATATAAAAGATCTTTTGCTGATTTATGTTTTAAAAATGAAAGTCTATATTTCATATTCTCTACTAACTTCCTCCTCCCATACCTTCTAATTACAGAGGGGAAAAGAGTAACGTTGGAGTTGAAAAGCCTGGCAGACACCATGTTCGACTGAGTGATCAGAGTGAGCGCCGCCAGCCATGAAACACACTGAATCTGGAACAATGGTGCAGCCCACTATGGCTTCTCTGATAGTCCTGCCAAAGGTGCATCACCTGAACCTGACTATGAGAAAGTGTCAGCCAAAGGAAAATGGAGGGACATTCTGTAAAACAACTGGCCTGTGCTCTTCAGAAGTGCCAAGGCCAATATAAAGAAAGGCTGAGGAACTGTTCTGGAATCAATAAGACTAAAAAGAGATATGACAAAATATGCAACATGTGACTTTCAATTGGATCTTCATTATTAGGGCAACTGGAGAACCTTCTTGGGACCTGATAAATAAGTGGCAGTAAGGTCTCAGTGTTAATGTCTTAATGTTGATGGTGGCATGTGGCTGTGTAGAAAACGCAGGCATGGCGGCTCACACCTGTAATCCCAGCACTTTGGGAGGCCAAGGTGGGAGGATCACTTGGGCCCAGGAATTAAAGACCAGACTAGGGAGACCCTGTATCTACAAAAAATATTTTAAAAAATTAGCCAGGCATGGTAGGTAGCATGTGCCTGCAGTCCCAGCTACTCCGGAGGCTAAGGTGGGAGGATTACTTGAGCGTGGGAGGTTGAGGCTACAGTGAGATATGATCTTCATGCCACTGCCCTCCAGCCTGGGCAATGCAACAAGACTCTGTCTAAAAAAAAAGAAAAGAAAAAAGAAAAGGAGAAAAAGAAAATGATGCTTCTTTTTGGTACTATTAGTCGATTTAGACTGCTTTAACAGAATGTCACAGACTGAGTGGCTTTTAAACAATAGAAATCTATTTCTCACAGTTCTGGAGGCTGGGAATTCCAAGATCAAGGTGCTAGCAGGAACAGTGTCTGGTGAGGGCACACTTCCTGGTTCACAGACAGCCATCTTCTCACTATAACCTCACACAAGGGAGCTGTATGGGGTCTCTTTGACAGGGACTCTAATACCATTCATAAGGGCTCTGCCCTTATTGACCTAATCAATCACCTGCCAAAGGCCCCACCTCCAAATATCACCACACTGAGGGTAAGGATTTCAACATACAAATTTTGGAGGGATACAAGTATTCATTCTATAGCAGGTAGGTAACACACTATGGTATTTGGAATGACAGAATGTCAGGTTGGCAACTTAATAGATTCAGGACATAAAGTTCTTTATATGGTACTTGTAACTTTTCTGTAAATTTGAGATTATTTGAAATAATGAAAAGTTAGGAAGTTTCTATGAATGCCTTAGCCAAGAGGACTCCAGCGCTTGGAGGACAGCCAGTCAGTCCAAAACTTGAGGTGGAAGCATTCCTTCCTGGTGTGGATTTGAACTGGCAAGTAATCCTCCATTGTCTCTAGGTAAGACATGGTGTTCAGACATCCATGATCTCAAGTGATGTCTTTTAATTTGACTTTCAATCTTGTTTTCAAAATCAGAGGAAAAATATTTTAAATATCAAATATCTTCTCTGCATGAGCAGACAGGGTATTTTTAAGAGAAAAATGTGTGTGCAATGTGCACATATTCTGAAATTAAAAGCAAGTTAATAGGGGGATTCTAAAATGAATTAATTTATAGGAAGCTGCTGAAACACTATTTGAATCATTTAGATTAAATGTGCTTTACTAGACAGATCCACTTCTACTGTGTTCTATTATCAGCAGTAGATTGGCCCTGACAGCCCTAATAAATTAAACTGTCCAGCTGCTGCTCCTTCATCTATCTGATGCAGCTGGTGATGGCAACAAGAATAAAAGAAGAGAAAAGGAAAACCTTAGAAATGAAGGATCTTCAACATGATGAAGAATAAAGCAACGTATCTGCAGATTTCGTGAATTAGTGATGCCTCTTCACCAAGTTGTACTTATTGTCGGGAACATATGAATTCAACCCCCTGGTGGAAGGGCTCAGGATGAGAGAACCGCTTCTCTTTGCAGTCAGACACCTGGGCTTTGTGTAACAAGGCATTGGCAACCACATGATGCTGGGTGGGAAGGGGAAAGCACTTTACACAGCCTCTCTAGTAATGAAGACAGACTTGCCTTTGCCTCCCCAGGCCCAGTTCAGTGGCTGTAATTTGCAAGCTGATGAGTTGGCTTTCAGGTAGAGTCACAGCCAAGAGAATGAGTCAAATGAAGACATCACCTGCAGTTGCAACCCCGTTTGTCCTGCCCTAAGCAACTGAGCTAGTGCCACCACTTTCCAGATTGATGAAAATCAAAGTATCACAGTTTAACCTCGCATAGGTGCCCACATATCCAGGTCGAGGGCAAAACATAAGTGTGAAAACACTGACAATTTCCAGGCAAAGACACTCAAGGGGACAGAGCAGGCCGAGATGCAAACTCTTCCTTTCCTTCTGCAAGGCCTGCGTTTATGGTGGGGGTCACATGGAGCAAATGAGTCCACCAAAGGCACAGTCCTGGAGTTCTGCTGCCAACCCTCAGCCACCAGTGGTCAAAGCCATCAGAGGCAGGAACATGAGGGTGTTTTTGCATTTGGGCACTGGCCATACTATCCTGGAAGATTTTACACCAGCAACACAAAACATTAAAAATGACTATAAATTTTGACAAATTTTCAATTTTAGGAATTTGGAAACTTTGGCCTGTATATTAGTCGGTGGAACTTTAGCATAGACATTATGTCTTCCTGTTTAAAATTCAAATGGATCCTCAAAAATGGTTCCAAATGGAGTGGAAAGAAATCCAGACAGGACAGATGGATATGTAACACTCTAAATCCATTCTATGGAAGGTCTGTAATCAGCCTGTGACGGTAGAAGTAAGTGCCAAATGGTACTTTTCCTTTGAGGTAACCAAGTGTAGTAGCTTTTGTTTTGTTTTGTTTTAAATAAGACACAGCCTTTGTTTTCTAAGAACAACACACAAAGGAATTAAAAACGACTCAAGCCTGCCCCCTGGTGTGAAGATAGATAAAAGCAACCGCAAGGTCTTAAAGTCATCTTCCTGAAAGTATCTTGGTGAGAGCTGAAATCACACCGCCATACGCAAAGCCGAATGTATATAATTGGCTAATAAACTTCACAGTTATTTTTATATTGAATGTCTTCAGAATTGGTATAGCCACTATGGAAGGCATCAAAGAAATGGAAGAATTAGCTTGCATCCTCCAGATAATCATTACTAAACACTTCCCTTGCATGCTGCCCCTAGGTAGAGCTTGAATGTGGCCTTGCACAGTAAGCCTGTACTGGCAGCTATCTCTGTTGTGTTTCTCTGGAATTCTAAAACAAAACTGCTGGGCATGGGGTTTTGATGTGGTTCCATCCCATGACTGTAGACCGATTCTGCATGGTGCAGTGTGCTTGCAGCATTATTACTTAAGATCATATATATTAATATATTTAGCCAAATAGCAAACAAGGGATGTACCTGATGCTTGAATTAACAAATAGGCAAATATAAGATGTCGGCATGTGCAAAAGATCCTAAGGCATTTCCTTTTTGGTCTTTGTAGCAGACTCTGTTGACAGGCTACATAGATGCGCTTGGATTTCTTTAACTGTTCTGGCGTGTCCCTCCCTCGGCATCTGTGTGCTTTGTTTCTAATGGTCTGTGCCCGTAATTTATTGCTGTCATTTGAATGTATGTGTCCCTCCACATTTCACAGGTTGGGAGTGAAATCCCAGTGTGAGGTGGGGCTGTCAGGAGGTGGCTATGTCATGAATGAGATTAGTGCCCTTATAAAAGGTTAAGGGAGCTAGGTGGGCCCATTTCCCCTCCATCTCTTCTGCCACGAGAGGACATGGCCTTTGCCCCTTTTGGCCTTTTTGTCCTTCAGTGCTCATTCAAATGGACATCTCGGAAGCAGACTGTGCCCTCACCAGACGCAAAACCTGCTAGCACCTTGATCCTAGACTTCCAGCCTCCAGAACTGCGAGAAATAAATTTTTATTGTTGGTAAATTTTCCATTCCCTGTATTTTGTTACAGCAGCAGGAAAGGACCAAGATATTCATCTCCAATGGACTGTTCTTGGCCTATTGGAATCCCTTTGCCTGCATAGGCAGAGAAGTGGTAATGCCGGGGAGTAATATGCCACTCTGGAATAGGAATTATTTTAAGTGGAGGCAATTGAGAAAAAGTGGATTCAGAATGAACTCTCTACTCTCCTCCTATCTGCCCAAAAACAGAACATAAAGTCCTGTTGTGAAGGTGTCCCTGCCCCCACCCAAACTGCCATTCCAGGAAGGGGATAACGGCCTTATTATCAGAGAAGAGATGGTACTGAGAGAGTCTACACAAACACACCTTACTCACTAACCCTATCTTTTATATGTTTCCCCATGTGTTTACCTTCCCACAATTTGCCACCCCAATCATCAAAAGCTCTTTTCTTGTCACTTCTCTACAAAATTATCCATCTTTGTTAAGATGCCATATAAGCCCCAAGGTCTAGTCACCCCTTTGAGTTACTCACCACGGAGTTCTCCCGTGTATATGCAAGCTGCACGTGCTAATAAACTTCAGCCTGTCTGTTTGTTTTTATTGTTGTTCTTCACCTATCTTTCATAACTCTAATTTGCAGGGCCTCAGCTGAAGAACCCAGAAGACAGTGGAAAAAGTTTTTCCCTCCCTATATGGGAGTGTGAGAGCCCAACTCTGCCTCAAG